>NC_000006.12:122949577-123252608 GCF_000001405.40 Homo sapiens | reverse complement strand
TATAACAAAACAAAGACTTATGTTGACAGGCAACAGATGACTGTATTTCTTCATTGATTCTTAAATAATAAGCAAGAAACAAAATAATTAGATATTTTTATAAAGTCCACTGATTTATAATTTCCTTGCATTTTATCTCAGTTAAACAAAACTTATTTATTTTCTCTTTTTAGCAGAAAAACCTGCAAGAGTATCAAGTAAGTACGGTTTGTATTAATGACAAGTTCTCTTTGATACATAGTATCAATTTTAAGATGAAATTCATAAAATATTTTTATTTTTGAAGTGTTCAGTATAGTTTATTCTAAACTGAATCCTCTGACAGGAATTTATTAGCTTTTATTGTTACTTACGTTGAAACTTAAAAAAAAAACTATGTTATTTGAAATTACAACTTGTAACAGAAATATCTTATTATTTTCTCAAGCCTGAAAATAAAAATGACTTGCATTTAAATAAATAAATGTTTTCAGTGATTAAATTCAAGTGAAATAAAATAATTCTGTATCTGCCTTTAACTGTCAATCACTAGAAATTTGTTAAAGACCACATATGGTCGAACAGTGATGCTTTTGCTGCTGTTTTCTAGTGTTCGTTAACCTAAATAAAATTGTGTATCTAAGAAACCTAAATTGTAATTTAATTGTATAGCTATAATTTAATTGTAAACCTAAATTGTAATATAATTGTATATCTAAGAAACCTAAATATAATTGTGTATATAAGAAAAACAGCATAGTTAGGAATGGATGTATCTCCTATAGTATAAACCACAGCTCCCAGAATAGATTCTCTAGAATATCAGGATCCAGGTACAGATAGAAATTCTATGTATATAGGATATAACTGTAAATATTCTTACAAGTTCCTAAGATTCAAGGAAATAACAATTTATCCTTTTTTATTTCCATATTTATGAAAAAATATTCTAAATAAGTACCACCCAATACAAATATAAAATGTGACATATATGTAATTTTAATTTTAATTACATATATGTAATTTTAATTTCATATGTGTAATTTTAATTTTAATATGTTATTTTAATTTTCTAGTTGACACATTAAAAGACAAAACAAAACAAGTGGAAATAATTTTAGTAATATTTTATTTTATGTAACTTATTTTATACAAATGTTATTTCAATATATAATCAATATAGAAAAGTATTTATCCCTACATTCTTTTTTTGTATTGAGATTTTGAAATCTTATGTGTATTTTACACTTACACTACATTTTATCTTGTGCTAGTCACATTTCAATTTCCCAAATCCCCATGTAGTCAGTGGCTACAGCATTGGATAGAGAAGGTCCTACTGTACCCAATGTTAATATTGAAGACAATAAAAAGGAACCATTAAAATATGATACCACATGTCATTCAAAGGTCTTTGATTACAGGTGATCATAGACTTGCTTCAGGAATTTAAAAAAAGGAAAGATATTGTAAGGACACAAAATTGTCCCACTGATGGCAAGGACAAAATGTATAGATAAAAGGAAAGGCCCTTGGAAGCTGCCCTATTCCACACCATTCCCCTACAGCCAAAGGTAATGAGAGCTGACTACATAAGGAGGTAATGCCAAGATTTTTGCCTTGAAGAATGGTTAGGATTTGGATAGCTGGAGAAAAGGATAGAAATGACTGACAAAGAAAGATAGCATCAGAAGTATTGGTTGAAGTTGAGGTGTAGTGTTGGAAAGAAGTGGGAAGTAAGCACATTTCGGGTGAAACTGTCAGGTAGAGAATATTCAAGGCCAAAATATTTTAGAATGTGCCACAGAAAGCTATGGTTTACTTCCTCCTAGAAGGAAGTAAAAAGTCAAGGAATTATTGGGACACCTAACTTCATAGTAATAGCAGTAGTAGTAGTAAGAGTAAGATTATGAGCAGTAACTGAAAAGAAAAATATATCAGAAAGAAAAATATATCATTTAAAATATATCATTTCTGTGATCCATATTAAAATAAATGATCAGAGACATCATGGAATGATTGTTTAATAAGGTGGTTTTCTGAGTATATGAAGCTTATTTCCTCTATAGCACATATTATTGTTTTTATTATGCTTTTTTAGGAGCAATCATCAAAAAACTGTCTTAGGTATTTATAAAGAAGAGCATACTATATATATTTGAAACTAAACAAGTATCATTCTTTTTCCGAATCCTTTTACAGCATTATGTATATGTATATTTTGCTAGTGGTGGTGGTAGGAGTGGGTTTTGGGGCTCAGACTTTTTTTTCAGTCATTTGTTTCTCTTTAACTAAAGGAGCTTCATGAAATAGCTGTGCTTTGTGGCCATCACTCTCTTCCCCTAACTCCACTCTAGTGCCTGCACCTCTTGTCTAGCAGGGACCAGGTCCTCCAACTTTTACAGCCATGAGCAAGTCATGTCTTTTGTTTGTGTTCTCGTCAATTTCTTTAATCAGTGTTTGTAGTTTTCCTTGTAGAGATCTTTCTTTTTCTTGATTAGATTTATTCCTAGGTATTTTTCTTATAGCTGTTATAAATGCAATTACCTTCTTGATTTCTTCTTCAGCTAGTTCATTATTGGTGTATGGAAATGCTACTCATTTTTATGTTGATTTTGTATTCTGCAACTTTACTAAATTTATTTATCAAATCTAGAAGTTTTTTTGGTGGAGTCCTTAGGTTTTTCTAGATATAAGATCGTATCATCAGCAAAGTGGGATAGTTTGAATTATTTTCCAATGTGGATGCCTTTTATTTCTTTATCCTGTTTCATTGTTCTGGCTGGGACATTCTATTTATTTCTTTCTCTTGTTTTGATTGTTCCGGCTAGGACATTCTATTCTTCCCCCTTTTGAAATCATCATGTCTATTATTTCCATCTTTATGTCCATGTGTACACATCATTTAGCTCCCACTTGTAAGTGATAATGCATGATAAATTTGATTTTCTGTTTCAGTTATTTCACGTATGATGATGGGCTTCAACTCCATCCATGTTGCTGCAAAATACATGATTTTACTGTTTTTTATGGCTTCATAGTATTCTGTGGTGTATAAATACTACATGTTCTTTATCTAATTATCCCTTAATGGGCACTTAGGTTGATTCCATGACTTTGCTATTGTGAATAGTGCTGCAATAAACATAGAAGTACAGGTATCTTTTTAATATAATTATTTATTTTCCTTTGGGTAGATATGCAGTAGTGGGATTACTGGGTCAAATGTTAGTTCTAATTTAGTTCTTTGAGAACTCTCCATAATGTTTTCCATAGGAATTGAACCAATTTACATTCCAACCAACAGTGTATAAGCCTTCCTTTTCTCCACATCCTCGTCAACATATTTTTTTTGACTTTTTAATAATAGCCATTCTGACTGGTGTAAGATAGTATCTTATTATGGTTTTAATTTCTGTCATAATTAGTAATGCTCAGCATGTTTTCATATGTTTGTTGGCTGATTGTATGTATTCTTTTGCGAGATGTCTGTTCATTTGCCCACTTTTCAAATGGGTTGTCCTTCAATCTGTTGATGTGATGTATCAGGTTTATTGATTTGCACATGTTGAGCCATCCTTGCATCCCTGGGATGAATCCTACTTGGTCATGGTGTAGTATCTTTTCAAAATGATGTTGGATTCATTTTGCTAGTATTTTGTTGAGGATTTTTGCATCTATATTCAACAGAGATATTGGTTGGGAGTTTTATTTCTTTGTGTGTCCTTGTCTGGTTTTGGTATCAGGGTAATGCTGACCTTGTAGATTGAGTTATGGAGGGTTCTCACCTCATTAATTTCTTGGAATAGTTTTAAAACTGGTATTAAGTTTTTCTTTCTATGTTTCATAGAATTTGACTGTGAATCCATCCAGTCCTGGAATTTTCTTTGATGAGAGATTGTTTTATTACTGACTAAATTTTGCTACAGTTGGTCTGTTCAGGTCCTATTTCTTCTTGATTCGATCTTGGTGAGTTTTATGTTTTCAGGAGTTTATCAGTATCCAATATTTTTTCCAGTTAATTAGCATGTAGTTGTGCATATAAGTCTCTGATTTTTATTTTTATTTTTTTTGAGATGGAGTCTCACTCTGTTACCCAGGCTGGAGTGCAGTGGCGTGATCTCAGCTCAGTGCAACTTCTGCCTCCTGGGTTCAAGCAATTCTTCTGCCTCAGCCTCTGGAGTAGCTGGGATTACAGGTGCCCACCACCACACCTGGCTAATTTTTGTATGTTCAGTAGAGACAGGGTCTCACCATGTTGGCCAGTCTGGTCTCGAACTCCTGACCTCAGGTGATCCACACGCCTCAGCCTCCCAAAGTGCTGGGATTACAGGCTTGAGCCACTGTACCCAGCTTGATCTTTTGTATTTCTGTGGTATCTGTTATACTGTCTCCTTTTTCCTCTGAGTTTATTTGGATCTTATTTCTTATATTCCTGCTTAGGCTAGCTGGCTGTTTTGATTTTATTATTTCAACGCACAATTTTATTGATCTTTTGTTTAATTTTATTTCAGTCTTTAATCCATCTTCAGTTAATTTTTTGTATAAGGTGTAAGGAAGGGGTCCAGTTTCAGTTTTCTGCATATGACTAGCCAGTTTTCCCAACACTATTTATTAAATAGAGAATCCTTTTCCCATTGTTTGTTTTTGTCAGGTCTGTCAAAGATCAGGTGGTTGTAGATGTGTGGTGTTATTTCTGTGGCCTTTGTTCTGTCCCATTGGTCTATATATCTGTTTTGGTACCAGTACCATGCTGTTTTGTTTACTGTAGCTTTGTAGTATAGTTTGAGGTCAGGTAGCATGATGCCTCAAGCTTTGTTCCTTTTGCTTAGGATTGTCTTGACTATACAGGCTCTTTTCTGGTTCCATATGAAATCTAAAGTAGTTTTTCTAATTCTGTGAAGAAAGTCTGTGGTAGCTTGACCAGAATAGCTTTGAATCCATAAATTACTTTAGGTAGTAGGGTCATTTTAACGATATTGATTCTTCCCCTCCATAATCATGGAATGTTTATCCATTTGTTTGTTTCCTCTCTTATTTTCTTAAGCAATGGTTTGTAGTTCTCCTTGAAGAGGTCCTTCACATTCCTTGTTAGTTGTATTCCTAGATATTTTATTCTCTTTGTAGCAATTGTGAATGGGAGTTCACTCATGATTTGGCTCTCTGTTTGTCTATTATTGGTGTATAGGAATTCTTGTGATTTTTGCACATTGATTTTGTATCCTGAGACTTTGCAGAAGTTGCTTATTAGCTAAATGAGTTTTTGGGCTGAGACAATGGGGTTTTCTAAATATGCAATCATATCATCTGCAAACAGAGACAATTTGACTTCTTCTCTTCCTATTAAAATATGCTTTCTTTCTCTTGCCTGATTGCCCTGGTTAGAACTTCCAACACTATGTTAAATAGGAGTGGTGAGAGAGCACATACTTGTCTTGTGCCAGTTTTCAAAGGGAATGCTTCCAGCTTTTGCCCATTCAGTATGCTATTGACTGTGGGTTTGTCATAAATAGCTCTTATTATTTTGAGATACATTCCATCAATACCTAGTTTATTGAGTGTTTTTAGCATGAAGGAGTGTTGAATTTAATCAAAGGACTTTTCCGCATCTATTGAGATAATCATGTGGTTTTTGTCATTGATTCTGTTTATGTGATGGATTATGTTTATTAATTTGCACATGTTGAACCAACCTTGCATCCCAGGGATGAAGCCAACTTGATCGTGGTGGATAAACTTTTTGATGTGCTGCTGGATTCGGTTTGTCAGTATTTTATTGAGGACTTTTGCATCAATGTTCATCAGGGATATTGGCCTGAAATTTTCTTTTTTTTTTTTTCTGTTATGTCTCTGCCAGATTTTGGTATCAGGATGATGCTGGCCTTATACCTTATAAAATGAGCTAGGGAAGAGTCCTTCTTATTCTATTGTTTGGAATAGTTTCAGAAGGTATGGTACTAACTCCTCTTTGTACCTCTGGTAGAACTTGGCTGTGAATCCATCTGCTCGTGGGC
This sequence comes from Homo sapiens, assembly GCF_000001405.40. Lineage (NCBI taxonomy): Eukaryota > Metazoa > Chordata > Mammalia > Primates > Hominidae > Homo > Homo sapiens. The sequence continues at coordinate 123,246,615 of NC_000006.12, read as the reverse complement.
CTTTTTTTTTTGGTTGATAGGCTATTAATTAGTGCCTCAATTTCAGAACGTTTTATTGGTCTATTCAGGGATTTGACTTCTTCCTGGTTTGGTCTTGGGAGGGTGTATGTGTCCTGGAATTTATCCATTTCTTCTAGATTTCATAGTTTATTTGCATAGAAGTGTTTATAGTATTCTCTGATGGTAGTTTGCAATTCTGTGGAATCAGTGGTGATATCCCCTTTATCATTTTTTATTGTGTCTATTTGATTCTTCTTTCTTTTCTTCTGTATTAGTCTGGCTAGTGGTCTATTTTGCTAATCATTTCAAAAAACAGCTCCTAGATTCATTGATTTTTAGAAGGGATTTTTGTGTCTCTATCTCCTTCAGTTCTCCTCAGATCTTGGTTATTTCTTGTCTTCTGCTAGATTTTGAATTTGTTTGCTCTTGTTTCTCTAGTTCTTTTAATTGTGATGTTAGTGTGTCAATTTTGAATTTTTCCCGCTTTCTCATGTGGGCATTTAGTGCTATAAATTTCCCTCTAAACACTGCTTTATCTGTGTTCCAGAGATTCTGGTACATTGTGTCTTCATTCTCACTGCTGCCAAAGAACTCATTTATTTCTGCCTTCATTTCTTTATGTACCCAGTAGTCATTCAGGAGCAGGTTGTTCAGTTTCCATGTAGTTTTGCGGTTTTGAGGGAGTTTCTTAATCCTGAGTTATAATTTGATTGCACTGTGATCTGAGTGACTGTTATGATTTACATTCTTTTGCATTTGCTGAGGAGTGCTTTACTTCCAACTATGTGGTCAATCTTGGAATAAGTGCTATGTGGTGCTGAAAAGAATGTATATTTTGCTGATTTGGTTGGAGAGTTCTGTAGATGTCTGTTAGGTCCGCTTGGGTCAGAGCTGAGTTCAAGTCCTGAATATCCTTGTTAATGTTCTGTCTTGTTGTTCTGTCTAGTATTGAAAGTGGGATGTTAAAGTTTCCCACTATTATTGTGTGGGTGTCTAAGTCTCTTTGTAGGTTTCTAAGAACTTGCTTTATCAATCCGGGTGCTCCTGTATTGGGTGCATCATATATTTAAAATAGCACTTCTTGTTGCATTGATCCCTTTACCATTATGTAATGCCCTCCTTTGTCTCTTTTCATCTTTGTTGGTGTAAAGTCTATTTTATCAGAGACTAGGATTTGCTACCCCTGCTTTTTTTTTCTTTCCATTTGCTTGGTAAATCTTCCTCCATCCCTTTATTTTGAGCCTATGTGTGTATTTGCATGTGTGACGTGTCTCCTGAATACAGCACACTGATGAGTCTTGACTCTATCCAATTTACCAGTCTGTGTTTTTTAATTGGGGCATTTAGCCCATTTACATTTAAGGTTAACATTGTTATGTGTGAATTTGATCCTGTCATTATGATGCCAGCTGGCTATTTTGCATATTAGTTGATGCGGTTTCTTCATGGTGTTGATAGTCTTCACATTTTGGTATGTTTTTGCAGTGACTGGTAACAGTTTTTCTTTTCCATATTTAGTGCTTGCTTCAGGAGCTCTTGTAAGGCAGGCCTGGTGGTGACAAAATCCCTCAGCATTTGCTTGTCTGTAAAGGATTTTATTTCTCCTTTGCTTATGAAGCTTAGTTTGGTTGGATATGCAATTCTGGGTTGAAAATTGTTTTCTTTAAGAATGTTGAATATTGGCCCCCACTCTCTTATGGCTTATAGGGTTTCTGCAGAGAGATCTGCTGTTAGTCTGATGGGCTTCCCTTTGTGGGTGACCTGACCTTTCTCTCTAGCTGCCCTTAACATTTTTTCTTTCATTTCAACCTTGGTGAATCTGATGGCTATGTGTCTTGGAGTTACTCTTCTTGAGGAGTATCTTTGTGGTGTTCTCTGTATTTCCTGAATTTGAAAGTTGGTGTGTCTTACTAGGTTGGGGAAGTTCTCCTGGATAATATCATGAAGTGTGTTTTCCAACTTGGTTCCATTCTCCCCGTCACTTTAAATACCGCAATTAAACATAGGTTTGGTCTTTTCACATAGTCCTATGTTTCTTGGAGGCTTTGTTCGTTCTTCTTTATTCTTTTTTTCTCTAATCTTGAATTCACATTTTATTTCATTAAGTTGATCTTTAGTCTCTGTTACCTTTTCTTCTTCTGATCAGTTTGGCTATTGATACTTGTGTATGCTTCAGGAAATTCTCGTGCTGTGTTTTTCGGCTCCATCAGTCATTTATGTTCTTCTCTAAACTGGTTATTCTAGTTAGCAGCTCCTGTAATCTTTTCTCATGGCTCTTAGCTTCCTTGCATTTGGTCAGAACATGCTCCTTTAGCTTGGAAGAGTTTGTTATTACCCACCTTCTGAAGCCTACTTCTGTCAATTCGTCAAACTCCTTTTCTGTCCAGTTTTGTTCCCTTGCTGGCGAGGAGTTGTGATCCTTTGGAGGAGAAGAGGCATTCTAGTTTTTGGAATTTTCAGCATTTTTGCACTAGCTTTTTCTCATCTTCGTGGATTTATCTAACTTTGATCTTTGTTGTTGGTGACCTTTGGATGGGGTTTTTGCATGGATGTCCTTTTTGTTGATGTTGATGTTATTGCTTTCTGTTAGTTTTCTTTCTAACTGGAGAAACTTGTATATTCTGTAGTTGTTGACAAAATGTTCTATAAATTCCTGTTAGTTTTCTCCTGTGACTGGATGTCCAAGTGTCTTGCTAGACTTGAGGTGTTTTCATCCATTATTTCGTTAAATAGATTTTCTAACCCTTTCCAACCCTCTTTGCTCCTGGGGACATTGATAATTTCAATATTCTGTCACTTTATGTCATCCTAACTGTAACAAAAAAAAATTGCTCATCATTAAGTTATTTTTCTTTATTTGTGACTTACCGGTTTATTTCCAAAGACCTGTTTTCAAGTTCTGAGATTCTTTCTTTTACTTGATTTTTCTTTCTTTTACTTGATTTTCTTTTACTTGATAAAGGTTTCCAATGTGTTTTGTATTTTATCAATGAATTCCTCAGTTTCAGAATTTCAATTTGGTTCTATTTTAAAATAGCTATCTCTTTTTTAAATTTCCGATTCATATCCTAAATTGTTTTCCTGACTTCTCTGTATTGTTTTTCAGAATTCTCTTGTATCTCACTGAACTTCTTTGAAATCAGTATTTTGATTGTTTTTGTGGGATTTTGTGATTTTCTTTTCCATTGGGATCTATTGCTAGACAATTATTGTATTTCTTTGTAGGTATCATATTTTCTTGTTTTGTTTTCCATATCCTTATGTTGCTATCTATGCATCTGGTGTAACAGTTGTTGCTTTGATTTTGGCTGTGTGAAAATGGCCTGCCTTCCCTCTCCCTCCTTAGTGACCATGGTGATGTTAGCCCCAGGGCAGAACACAGTCCTTTGGGCCTGTGCTATCAGACTGGTGACAGCTGTGGGCCTGCCACTAAGGATGATGGGACCACTCTCAATAGAGTGGCATAGGCAGGCAACTAGGGACACGTAGTTTTCTTGCACCTTGGTTCTGTAGCAACCTTCAGCAGCAACAGTGGAATTTGTCTTCGGGGCACATCATGAAAGTGCCAGGCCTTCCTTCTCCCTCCTTGACCTTGTCAAGGTGGCAGTGGCAGCATTGACTCCAGGGCAGGACACAGTCCTTTTGGAGCTGAGCTCTCAGAATGATGTCATGCTATAGCTGCTCAGGGCTCAGAAGCCTGTGGGGCTCAATATGAGTTCCTTCTTTGGAGCAATGCCTTTGCATAATCTTCAGGCAGCTCTCCATGTTAATCTTGAGGCCTGCAAGAGTTGAGGAACTCTCCCATATCTAGTATTGTTAGTCTGTGGCTGAAATGTGGGGCCCTGGGAAACACTTACTTACACTTTCCCCATATTCCAGAGCTTCTCCTGGCTGCCAGCCCATCACAGCCAGACAGACTGCTACACTTTCTTTTCTTTCTTTGCTTTTGGTGCTTCCTATCACTTCTCTGTTGAATTCCAGTGTAATCTCTTAGACCATCTATTCAAAGTCTGACTATCTACTTGATACTTTTGTTTCTTTCCATGGAAGAGGCTCGTATTAGCTGAATCTAAACAGCCATCTTGCTCCCAGCCTCTTGCTTTCTAATTTCTAAATATTCATTTGATTTTTATTCTGTATCTTTATTTTTGTATATATGGTAAATATATGATAAATAATGTGCTTCTCATGGAGTTTGGAGGAAGACATTGGGAGGAGGATGTGTGAGATTTTATTATATTTAGTACTTATTATTTTAAAAATTAAAAGCAAAAAAATCCCACATTCTTAAAATTTAAATAACACCACAATCTATTCCTGATATTAACATTTTAAATTTTTTGAAAACTTTTTCTCTAAAAAAGCAAAAATACATCCTAAAATATTATTTTCCAGGAACTTGCCCAAAGGCAAAATGTGAAATAAAACCAAGGGATGATAAAATACATTCTTAAAAGGCAAACAATGCTGCGGGAAGGTTTTTCAACCGGAAGAGTCATAAGGCTCTAGACAGGGGGATGGCCCTGGCAAGATATTTATCCCAATGGATGTTGGTATATCAAAGAAAAAGATTTTATAGGTGTGCATAGTTATTTTGTTGCTGTAGTCTGGGAGTCAACATTTATATAAAGTTAGGTTTGTTAGATCCTCAAAATGAGTATTTCAAATGAAATAGTGTAGTAGGAACATTTCTTGAGATTATTGTATGCGGAGGTTTAACTTTGCCATGTTTCCTGTAATTTTTTTTTTCTTGAATAGGGGAGCATTTTTGCCATTAGCACTTCATCAAAATTACCTGAATGCACCAAGTTGTGAGATCATTATAAACTTTGAGATACAATTTTGATATTAGTCCAAGATAATAAATTTAACTTTGACATCTCCATAATAATAAATTTAGTCTTTTCTAGAAGTTTACTACTTTATAATGAAGTTTCAACCAAGCCTGCTAGAAAAGTAGTTAGGATTTCCATGTTTTTAAACAACTTTCTTTCTATCTTACTTTTGTGATTTTTCAAAAGCTTTCTAACTTTTAATATTCTGATCTAGTATTTTGGTTCTGCATTTTTTTCCTTCCTTTATAAATATGCTAAGTAAATAAGGTAGTTCTTTCAATATTAGAGTATAATAGATATTTTAGATGTCAGAATTAAGCACTTTGAAAATTAGTCTGAAATTTAAGCATAAGATAAAATTAAATACAGATTTCATAGATATAAAAGTTTATATTCTTTTTCTGAATTTACATGTTTAGTGTATCTTACGTCTGAAAAGAAAACTGTGAAATGAATATCTAGTAAAGATTCTTTTAATGACTATAATTAACCATAACTAAAGCATCATATTTGTCCTTATAATATATAATGATGAATAAATAAAAGTATAACCTATTTTTATTGATTATATTTTCCCAAATTGAAAATTTTCAGTAATTTCAGAAAACTAGAATTTCCCAATAAGTATGTCATTCCCATTTGAAGTAATATTTCAATTTGTCAAATAATAATGTTACTATTAATGAGTAAGTAAATTATAAAATGATAATTCAGTGGCAGAAAACAACTAATCTTCTTAAACACAGAAATTCTTAAACACAAACAGAATATACTTCATTTTATGTTGATAGCATCTTTGCTTTCCTTTTTTACATAATTAAATTAATGATACTTTCTAGCATAACCAAATTCAACCTAAAAGCTACTTCAGAGTAAATTCACCTCAAAAATCAAGTAACTTCTGTTATCTTAGACTAAGTTGTTGATAAAAATAATATGCAATGATTAATGATGACACATCAATATTTTGACTTTTAAATAAATTAATCAATTTTATCACTTTACAACATATGCCAGTCCCATATCTAGCACTGCACAAGAAAATTTAATAGTCTAATTCGGATGTAGTTATAGAACAAGTCTTTAAACATTGTTTGCTTAACTTTACAAAATGAGTTTGAATAATGTTATTCATGCCCAATTATGTTTTGAATTCATTTGTCTAAAATTAGATCTAAATGTTTCCAAAAAATAAACTGAATTGCTGAAACTAAAATGACTATTAAGTCTCTTTTACTACTTTGTTAATATTGTTTGTGAAAAAAAATCCATTGCTATAAATATATAACTGTTATTTATGGCTTTTTTTTTACGTTGTTTCAGCAAGTAAGATTGATTATATACTGAAATCAAAAACAGAAAGAGAAAAAAAGACCTTCCCATTTCTAAAATAATTTATTGGAAAATGAAGTTTTGGGAGAGAGATCATAATTTTTTTTCATAGCTTTCATTTATATACAAATTAATATCAAAAATGTGAATTTCCTATCCCTCTTACTAATATAAATTATTCCAGTCTATTTTGTTCTTTAAAAATACTTTATTATGTAGTTTCTGATACATACAAAGTAACATATATTTGAAAACTGGATAATACAAATACTGTAACTTCACTATTCCAACCCTTGATTTCTATCAGAAGTAACTACTACAATGAGTTTCATTTTACAATTGATTCCCTTGATTACTTTTTTCTAATTTTATGACATGTATTGGTCTCTCATCTCTGTGTGTGTGTAGCACATTGTAGAACATACTCTGAAATTTTTTACTTAATGTTATGCTTCTCAGATTTATCAGTATTTTTGAGTAGTTATATTTTACTTATTTTCACTGCCATATATAGTATATTACTTTGTGAACATACACATTTAATCAGTTCTACTCTTGATGGACATTTGCAATGCTTCCCATTTATTTGAGGTTTTTCTGTTTCCTTTATAAATATCAAATATGTATGCTTATTTTATTAATCTATTTCCTTTCTACTTTTACATATGTATGTAACAGCAATAAATTTTCCTTTAAGCACTATTTCAGCAGCATCCCACAAACTTTTATATGTAGTATTTTCATTACAATTCAATGTTAAGCATATTTAATTTCCACTATAATTAATTTTAACTAGTGTATTAGATTTTATTTATAGAGTATATTTTAAAATTTCTAAACCTATGAGAATTACTGACGTTATTCTTATTTAACCGAACTCCAATTTAATTGTGTAGTAATCACAGGAAAAGTGTTTTCTTTGAAATGTGTTCAGTGTTTATCTTGTGAACTAATATATTAGTTTCAGTAAATACTGTATATATGATTGAGAAGATTGTGTCTTTGCTAATGGTTGAAAGCACAATTCTATAGCCGTTAAATCAAGCTTAATTGTCTTTTTAATTACCCTGTATCTTCTTTGACTTTTTGTATATTTGAAGTATCAATAACTGAATAAACTATATTGACATCTCCTCCTATGATGAGAAATTATCAGTTTATCCCTGTAGTTTAATCAATTTTTATATCAGGTGCTATTTCATGTTATACGTAAGTTTATATCAATTTTGTGTCTTTCTGATATATTGAACATTTATCTTTATATGATGACTTCTATATCCCTTACAAAGCTCTTTTTAAAAAGAGTATATGGCTGGGCATAGTGGCTCACGCCTGTAATCCCAGCACTTTGGAAGGCCGAGGTGGGCAGATCATGAGGTCAGGAGATCAAGACCATCCTGGCCTACATGGTGAAACCCTGTCTCTACTAAAATACAAAAAATTAGCGTGGCGTGGTGGTGTGTGCCTGTAGTTCCAGCTACTTGGGAGGCTGAGGCAGGAGAATCGCTTGAACCCAGGAGGTGGAGTTTGCAGTGAGCAGAGATTGTGCCACTGCACTCCAGCCTGGCCAAAGAGTGAGACTCCGTGTCAAAAACAAAACAAAATAAAACAAAAAAGAGTATTATGCAGTATGTCTGATATTAATATAATTATTCCAGCTTTCTTTTGGTTAATATTTTATCTGAATCTATTTTCAATTAAACCTTTACTTTATGTCCTTTCATAACATGATGTTTTATATATGTGTCTATCAAACAATATTGAGCTAAATTTTATTTTACGTTGTATACTAAAATGATCTTTAGTTTTAATCTGATGGACGTAGACTATTTACATTTATCATGATTATTAATATCTTAGGTCTGGTTCTCACTGTCTTGTTGCTTTCTCTTTCTCATGCTCTCTCAATGCTTCTTCATCATCTTTCTTGACTTCTATAAATTGAGGGTTTTTTCCTTTTATATGTTTTTATTATTCCATTTTGCAGAGACCATACCTTATTTCTATTACTTTAGTGATTATCCTTACATTTTAACCATACCCACCTAACAAAGTATAAAATTGCTACTTGAAAACCCCTTCTAAACAAGAGAGGAATATGAAAACATCTAAATTCCAACACATCTAATCTTGACTTACATGGTAATTTTGTTCAAAAACCTGAATATGTGAATTTTATTAGTATTATTTGTTTAATCAGTATGTGCCTATCTGTACTTATATGTTTGCCAGTTTAATAGTTTACCATTTCTTTTGCATTTTTGACTTTCTTTTGATAGCATACTTTTCCTAGTAGTGCCTTCTATGAAATTGCCTTGGGTAGAGTTCTGTTAGTAGAAAACATTCTCAGTTTTTACTTACTTGACAGCTTTTCTATATCATTTCATTCCCGAAAGCCTTTTATTTTTTCTGTCACATAATCTAGGCTTCCAATTATACACTTTTAAGCATCTTTTAATGTATTATTCAACTCTATTGTTTTCTTTTCTACTGATAGAATAGGGGAATGCTGTTATCAATTTAATTGTCATTTCTTCCTGTGTAATATATCTTTTCTCTCTGCCTTCTTCAAGTATGTTCTCTTAGCCTTTGTTCTGCTGCAGTGTTACTATAGTTTGTTGGGATGAGGATTTCTTCTTATTGTGACATACTTTCAGGGCACAGGAATTTATCGTTTTCTTGTACCTACTTGAGGAATCCATAACCATTGTTTATTCAAAATATTGTCTTTTCCATTTTTTCTCCTTTATGCCACTGCAAAAAAGCAAGAAAAAAATTAACACATTTGGAAAGGAAAAAACAAAACCACCCCTATTCACATGATTGTCTATGTAGCAAATCTAAAACCTGTATAAACACAAAAACTGGAATTAGTAAGTGAGTTTCAAAAGGTAGTAGGGTGTCAGGGCGCAGTGGCTCACGCCTGTAATCCCAGCAGTTTGGGAGGCTGAGGCGGGCAGTTCATGAGGTCAGGAGTTCGAGACCAGCCCGGCCAAGATGGTGAAACTCTGTCTCTGCTAAAAATACAAAAATTAGCCGGGCATGGTGGCACTTACCTGTAGTCCCAGCCACTCGGGAAGCTGAGAGAGGAAAATCCCTTGAACCAGCGAGGCAGAGTTTGCAGTGAGCCAAGATTGTGCCACTGCACTCCAGCCTGGGCGACAGAGCGAGACTCCATCTCAAAAAAAAACAAAGTAGTAGGGTATAAAGTTAATACAGAAAACTCATTATTTCCCACATGCAACATGCAATTGGAAACAAAATTTAAAAAAAATTAGTTCGTGTTACCTAATATGAAATACTTATGTATAAATTATGTATAAATCAAAATGCATATATGATCTATATGTTGAAAACCACAAGGTGATGATAAAAATTATTAAAGAAAATCTAAAATAAGTAGAGCTATACCATATTCATAAATTGGAAGATTCAACATAGCAAAGAGGTCAGTTCTCCCCAAATCGATCTATAATTTAATGCAATTACAATCAAAATCTCAGACAGAATTTCTTAATATATAAAATCTCTTTTACAATAGCTAAAACATTTTTTAAAAGAACAAATTTGGAATAATCATATTACCTAATTTTAAATGTTACTGTACACTTACAGTAATCACAAGAGTATGGGATTTGCAAAGATATAGCCACATAGATCAATGTAGTGTTAAAAATCCAAGAAATAGACCCACATAACATAACCATTTGATTTGTAATAAAAGTTCCGAAGCAATTTAGTGGAGAATAAGTAGACTTTTTAACCAATGGCACTCAAACAATTGGACATCTATGTATTTTTTGAAAATAAACTGCTATCTTAACCTCACATAGTGTGCAAAAATTAATCAAAAATAGATATCTCTAAATGTAAAACATGAAATTATCAAACTTTTAGGAGAAAACATCTTTGAGACCTAACATTAGACAAAGAGTTACAAGACATGACACCAAAAGGACTATTTGTAAAAGAAAAAATAATAAATTGTATACCATCTCAAAATTAAAAATGTGTGCTCTGTGGAAAAGACTACATATCCAACAAAGGCCTTGTGTTTTTTACAAATTGGGTGAAATAAAATGTTAGTTAAAATTAATTTTAAAAAGTAAACAAAAGATTTTAACACATAGTTCACCAAAGAGGATGTATGAATAGCAAATAAGAGCCAGAAAAGATATTTGACATTATTAGCTGTTAGAGAATTGCAAGCTAAGCCACCATTATATAACAGCACACATTTATTAGGATAAGTAACTTTTTAAAACATGGAAAAACAAAAACAAGTGCTGGCAAGCATTTGAAACAACCAGAACTTTCATACATTGCTGTCGGGAAGGCAAAATGGTACTGGCACTATAGAAAACTGAGAGTTGCTTATGTTGTGACCCAACCATCTCACTCCTGAAGGATGAGAGAAATAAAAATTTATGTTTGCCCAAAAATGTGAACATAAATGTTTATTGCAGCTATATTCACAATCGCCAAATCTGGAAATAACCCAAATGTCCTTCAACAGGCAAATGGATATAGAAGCTGTAGTACATCCACACAACAGAATATTTCTCAGGAATAAAAATTCATATGTGCAGCAGTTATATGAATTCAAATACGTTATTTCTTCTGAAGCTAAGCTCCAAAGGTTCCATACGGGAAGTTTTCATGCATATGAGATTCTTCCATTGGGTTACAGCTCAGTAGTTGCTCAAGGTTAGGGACAGAGGGGGAGTGTCACTATAAAGGAGGAGAACAAAGGTATTTTTTGGAGGTGATTTTGGTTGTAGTCACACACATCTATACGTGTCTTAAAATTCATATACATGTCTTAAAATTCATAGAAGTTTGCACTGAAAAACTCAATTTACTGTGTGATTATTTTAAAAAATAAACCTTAAAAAATAAAATTAATAACGTACAAAACTTGTGAAAGATAGCTTTTTGAGATTTCCTAGCTGGGTTGCTTTTTCTCACTTACCTGACCTTATCTTTTTCTTTGTCTTTACTGACCCTGTCTTGCTCAACTTTTATTCCACTCCCAGCAGTTCCTTACCATTTGTGGGAATCCATCCTGAAAGTGAGCCCTGGCTTGTCAGTTTCCCAAGGTCACAGGGTATCTGAAGGTTCCAGCACCTTCAGCTCTCAATGCTTACCTGCTATTGGACTTGACAAAGTCCCTCATAACTTTAGCTGATGATCTCATCAGTCTAACTTCCTTTGGGAAATACCTATTGGCTATCTGAGAGACTGATCCCCATCTCTCAGACTCCCCATGGTTTCCCTCTGCTTCCTCTTCCACAGACTTTGATTCCTTGTAGATTTTTGACTATTCATTTGTCTCAATATGTAGCTATCTTAGGGTTCATCTAATTGGTTATAAATATTGTTCATGGTTTTTGCTGTCTACCTATTCTATCCATTTTGGGGGGAGAAATATGAAGGAAATTTAAGATCTCTACTGCTATTATGTTCTCACAGTCCCCTAGGACAATTTTATCATTGTCCCACCCTCCCTGGCTTAACAAACGATCCTAGCCTCTACACCCCCATTTTGCTCCTTGCACACTTAATTACTGAATTTCAGTTTTAATATAAGCACTTGTCCTAATGTGACCCCACTTTTCATGTATCAGCAGGGTTAGTTTTTTATTTTAATTTCCCTGGGACAGAAGGGTCAATTCTATTTGAAGATTTCCTTTACTTCCTCTAAACCCAGTCCTTCAACAAAAGGTATTAGTTTTTGTTGCTGTGAATGAGCACTTTAGTGTATTCAGTCTATCATATTTTCAGAAGTATTAGTGTCCAATAGTTTTTAAGATTTTATCCACAAGTCTTATTTTAACCAAGATTATTGCCTTTCTTTTTCTAAATTAAAAAACAAGATATCTTACGTCCCAGTTCTAGACAATTGTGTAAAACTAATTATGTCATTAAAAATTTAGCGAGTGCTTCATCACAGAATCCTAAATTTAATCTTTATTAAAGCAAAACCATTCTCAACTAATACAGATATGTACAAACTGAAATAAAGTCTTCTTATAATGAATGGATGAAAGCTTATTTCTGGCTACACATGGGTGTATATATATTTAATATATGTGTGTTTATAAACATATATACACATACCTATACATAAATGCACACACATATATATGATATGAAAGTGATTGTTTTTATAAAATGACTTCTGTTTTGTTAGAGGTCACATGCTGAAATGGAATGGCAACATTACTGTAGTTTTTGCTAAACAAATTAGCACTAAATTCATAATAGACATATGTATACAGATGGTATCATAGGGTAGTAGTCGATACCAGGGAAACTAGCGTCAGAAGTACTGGTTCCCATCATGACTTAAAAAGCTGAATAACTTGGAAAAATTACTTAACATTTTTGTGCTTCAATAGCTTTATTTTTAAATTTTGAATAATAATATTCATCTCATAGAAATTTTGGGTAGATTAAGATAAAATAGTAGAGTGCATGAATAGGGATTGGTATATGATAAGTGATTATTAATTGGTAACTATAAGAATGAGGATGATGATGATTATGTAATGACAATGGGTTACTCCCCTAGCAAGGGACAGATTTCAATTATTAAACTTTTGTGTCAAAATGGATACAATTATTAAATAAAAAAATAAAGAGAAAACATCTGTCTCTTATTTTTGCTTGGATTTAAAACAATCTCACTTTTTAAAGCAAGGGTGATTAAATTCATGATGATTTTGTTTTAGGAGAAAAAATTGGCTGAAGTCTCCTTAATATGTGCCAGTGATCATACTCACCACTCTGATCACCCCTTTTGCTAAACTCCAGAGAAAGGTTGTGTATAAGGCGCATTTGGTGAAACGTTTGTCACTGTTCATTATTAGACTTTGGGTCCCAGCACTGTGGCCTCATTCATTTAAGGGTGATGTTAAGTTGTTCTGACATTGCCCTCAAGAGAGCCGTGTTTATCCTGGGAGTGATGGGACAGACACTAAGAAAGGGTCGCATACATTCATTGAACACTCCTGGCTTCACTGTGTGCTGCCTACAAAATCCCAAATGTGAAATTTCCCTGCATAGTTTATTATTCCCTAGAGTCAATTTTAAGAATCTTCAGTGAGTTCTCAGTGTAGCAGTTCATTTTCTTTAAAACTCGTTATTACTTTAAATAATAGCACATATTGAAGGAGCTTCTCACACCTGAGAGCTAAAATAAACTGGCTGTCAAATGTTGCTTTGAACTACCGTGGGTTTTTAAGATTTCTTAGGAAAATGTGAACTCTTAGAAAGTAATATTCTGTTAAACCGGTTACACACAATTTGGCCAGTTAGTTGAGAAAATAATTTGGAGCTTTGGGTATCTCTGCAGAAACAGAGAGAGGCAGCGAATTTGATAAAGGAAGAGGGCTGAGGAAGAATACAAATATTCATGCTAAGCTTTTTTTGCATCTATGACTAAGGATTCCACATGTTTACTTACGAGGATTTCTTGAAACTGCACAAATCAAAATAGACTGCTGGTAGAGATGAACATAGAGTAACTGAGCTGGTACATATACGTGCATTATTTAGGGGGCTTTGATTTATTTATAGTGTTTGCTAAGAGCATATAGAGCAGACTGGACACTACACAGAAAAATTTTATGTTTAAAACTGAGAAAAACAAAATTAATCCATGCCATAAATGTGGGTTCTTCAAAGTTTGCCTTCTCCCCAAATTACAATCTCTTTTTACTCTTTTGTATATTCCCTATCATCAGCCTCCCATTCTCATATCAAGAAGCATTGCTTCTCCTAAGATTTACATTCTGTATTCCTTTTTGATTCCATCCTCTCTTGCTTTCTCCCTCAATCATGCCTCTGCAGTTCTTACCATAAGAGTTTCTCCTACCTCTGCCTACAAATATTCCTTTGTACAAAATTTTCCTTGCCCTTTCTGCTTCTCAGAGCTGTTGTCTTTTTGCTCTGCTTGCATTTGCAGCCACTTCTGAACTAGATCTCCTAGCAATTTCTCTCTACTCTTTCAGTTTAATTCCATGCAGCTTGGATATCTGCCCCCATTTCTGCCCCAACAGTCTCCCCAAATAGCTAACCTCAAGTTCAACACAGCGTTCCAAATTGTAAAGCTGAATTACCTTTTGCTCACTTCTCCCCTATTGTTAACCTCTCTAATGCCTTCCACATTGTGGGTCGCCTGCCCTTTTTGAAATGTTTTCCTCTCTTGGCTTTCATAATATAGGATTTTTTTTTTTCAGTCTATTTGCTCAGTACTGGGCTTCTGCTGTTTTTCCCCAGAGGTTGAATTCTTCCAACCTCAGCTCTCTTTCCTACTCTTCTGTGCTATTCCTCAGTGGGGCCATCCAGTTTTGTTTTCTACATTATCTACTTCTTTGTGGATAAGACCCAAAATTCTTCTGAAGCTTAACCTATTTTTTCAGCTCCAGTCACATTCAATTCCTAACTTCGCCCTTTGTCTGCACAAGTTTACAACTGATCTTCATATCATAAACTTCTTCTTGCCCTTATCCTTCTACCCTCTCCATATCCCAAGAGGGGATTCTACTCTTGCCATCTGACTTCCACTCTTTAGTCACTTAGACATAAAACTTTGAATTCTACTTTGACCAATCAGTATTACTTGTCCCGGACCCTAATTTTGTTTTAAGTCATGTAGGCTTTTACTGTTTCTCCTCTAAACCATTGCATTCACTCCCCAGCAGGCCCTTTTCTGACTTGTCATTCTTCCTTTTTATGTCCACTGACATTAAATTTTCCAAACTTTAAAATGATTGGGCCATATATGTGAGAAACACTGACTATTTCTTCATTGTAAATTTGGAATAAATTCTACATTTCTAAGCCCAGGAGTCTAGGGCCTCTATAATCCAGGTATAAACTACATTAAAATTTTTTGTGTGTGTGATCATTTTCTATACCTATTGTAGGTGCTAGCCCAATTGAACATTCTATATTCCTAATACTGCTGCCTCCTAGATTTGATCCCATCATTCTCTTTTCCTGAACAATTCTTTGTACCTCTAACAATGCAATTCATTACGATTGTTCAAAGTCCATCACCAGTGGAAGAGTGTCCATAAAAAACTTCTTTGATCTACGTAAGAGGAATTGACCATTTCAATCTTGAAACTACCTCGCAGTTATACTATCAATTGTCATATACTATCTCATACTTCAGAGTCCCTTCTATTTGGTTGGGTACTTTTTCATTTTCTCTATATGGGTTTGTAAATTACTTCTAAGTAGCATCCTATTTCCTTTTGGTTCCTCCAGGGCACAGAGCAAAGTGCTTTGCAAGTAAAGATAGAATAGTTTAGAGGAAAGAGTGAGGGTCTTGATGTTGAGGAAAGTTAGCTTCATGCCTTCTTTCAACACTTTTTAAAATGTGTTGCTGCAGGGAAGTTCTTTTCAAATACTTTGGGGCTCAAAGTTCTCTTGTAAAATCAGATATTTTCCCCATAATTCATAAGGGTATTGGTGAGACTTAGGTTAAAACACATGTGTAAAATCTAGTACCTAGTAGCATACCTGGCACAGAAAAATATCTCATTGTAGTTCTCATAGTTGTTGCTGGAAAAGTAACTTTATCTTAAATGAATAAATCATAGGAAACCTTCAAGGTAATATTCACTTTGACTGTAAAGCTAGACTGAAATTTTTAAAAATCTGTTTATGATTTTACTTTTATAACATAAACACACAGCCTACATCACAAAATATACATTATGAATTAATCTTTTGTATGAAGAAGAAACTGAGATTCCAACCATCTATGAAAAATGCTATGAATATGTTTCTAGTAAATTGTTTTGCAAATATATGATAAGGGTGTTGAATATATTCCAATTATCCAAATTTAGAAGTGGTGGTTTTATCATTTTTCTTTTTATTATTATTATTATTATTATTATACTTTAAGTTCTAGGGTATATGTGCACAATGTGCAGGTTTGTTACATATGTAAACATGTGCCATGTTGGTGTGCTGCACCCACTAACTCGTCATTTACATTAGGCATATCTCCTAATACTATCCCTCCCCCCTCCTCCCACCGCAAGACAGGCCCCGGTGTGTGATGTTCCCCTTCCTATGTCCAAGTGTTCTTATTGTTCAATTCCCACCTATGAGTGAGAACATGTGGTGTTTGGTTTTTTGTCCCTGCGATAGTTTGCTGAGAATGATGGTTTCCAGGTTCATCCATGTCCCTACAAACGACATGAAATCATCCTTTTTTTATGGCTGCATAGTATTACATGGTGTATATGTGCTGCATTTTCTTATTCCAGTCTATCACTGATGAACATTTGGGTTGGTTCCAAGTCTTTGCTATTGTGAATAGTGCCGCTGTAAACATACGTGTGCATGTGTCTTTATAGCAGCTTTAATTTCAATTATGGTAACTATTGATAGATATAATTCATAAAAAATATTTTGGGGTCTTTAATATTTTAAGATGATAAAGGAATTCTGTGAAGAAAAAAGTGAAAGCCACCGCTCTAGAGAATAAAATGTAGAACCAAGATAAGATTGCTTGCTGAGAATGAGAAATCTGCATTTTAGTATAAAATTTGCGAATTCACTTATCAAACCTACATAATTAAGAATAAACATAATTATATACCATACCTACCATTGGTGCTGAGGCTGGACTTTACATTTTCTCATATACTTGGAATTTTTATCAGCCAATTGTAATTAGAGTCCATATTTATTAGAGTCCATACACACGCAGTCTCCTAAATACCAACAGATCAAGTCTTTAAATCATCTGTGTCTTCAACCTCATAGAACCAAGTCCACCCTTGACTCCAAAGAGATGAAGACTTAACACCTGAACCCTGTTAAAAATCCCATTGGCCATGAAACTTTTTTGACCCATGGCTGCAGAACAGTATTGGAGATAAGTAAAAACTTTCAGGCAGAGAACAGAGGTAATTTCTTACTTTTTCAGGCATTCCACTTGATCACAGAATAACACTTTTCTTAAGTGTAGAAACAGACAGTTATGTGAAATGAAGCAAGTCATGGATTTAGGACAAAGGAGAAAGTCCTTCAGTTAACCAGAAAATACAAGGACTACTTGACCAAACAAAATCCAGGACTTTCTATTGTAAATTTATTGATTTTTAATAAACTGATAGCTATTTAAGAACCCTTGTGTCAGTAGGCCCAATTAAATAAGTATTGAAGAGTTATACAAAACCTAGTCCTTGATTAAAATGACAGCCATACAGACAAGATGGCCCATTTTTTCATGACTCTATTATAGTGCAGACAACTGCTTGGATAGGAGGATGGATTCACTGCTATCTCTGATTCCTCTGGAATCTGTTTCTATGTAAGCGAAGAATGAACTCTAGAATTTGAAAGTCAAGATAGTACAATTTTATTCTTCAATGTTAGAAATAACTGTAGCTTACACTACTTATAATGTTTAGGCAAACAGAAAAAATATTATGCTTACCTCTTCATTGTCTTTATTTTCAAAGACAACTAAGTAACTTTTCATCGCCACTGAGGGAGAGTAGATTGTTAGAAGTGCAGAGGGACACATTTAGCACCCCCTCTCATTTTAAGGGGGTTAGTGGAATGCCTTCTCCTTCATTTCTGTTCTGCACAAGTGTGTGTGTGGCTCATGCATAACTTGACTCTGTCAGAGCCTGCCAGCAGGTATGTTAGGCAACATAATGCATGGGTACTAGAATCAGAGAGAAGTGGGTTTAGAAGTTCATCCTCCAGAGGCAGTGATATGGTTTGGCTGTGTCCCCACCCAAATCTCATCTTGAACTATATTTCCATATCCCCACATGTTGTGGGAGGGACCTGGTGGGAGGTAATTGAATCAAGGGAGCAGTCCCTCCATGCTATTCTCACAATAGTGAGTACGTTCTCAGGAGATCTGAGGGTTTTATAAAGGGTTTGTCCCCTTTGCTCAGTTCTCATTCTTCTTCTCCCTACCACCATGTGAAGAAGGACACGTTGACTTCTGTTTCTGCCGTGATGTAAGTTTCCTGAGGCCTCTTCAGCCAGGCTGAAATGTGAGTCAATTAAATCTCTTTCCTTTATAAATTACCCATCTTGGGCAGTTCTTTATGGCAGTATGAAAACAAACTAATGCAGGCAGAATGGCTTAGTGATTAACAGCACCATCTCTGGAACCAGAATGCCATAGTCTTAAAAACCAGTTCTTTCACTTCTTATAGCTCTGAGACATTGAATCTCTCTGATTTTTAATTGTCCCACCTATAAAATAGGAACAATAAGAGTATATTCCTCACAGATATTCTGAGGAGGTGAAAAGTGTTAACATTTATAAAGTGCTTAGAACAGTGGCTGGCACATAGCAGGTGTACTATTCATGGGATAAATTTCAACACTCTTTCAAGAGGCCCTGATATAGGAGATTTGGATTATGTTTAGAACAGTGGCTGGCACATAGCAGGTGTACTATTCATGGGATAAATTTCAACACTCTTTCAAGAGGCCCTGATATAGGAGATTTGGATTATGTTCTTGTTCTGTCTCTGCCACTCATGAGTTTTGTGACCTTGGGCAGGACCTCTCTCTCCTCTATTTGTACAGTAGATTCAGTATAAAAGTCCTCACCTCGGAGGTTGCAGTGAGCCAGGATGGCGTCATTGCACTCCACCCTGGGTGACAGAGTGAGATCTTATCTCAAAAAACAAACAAAAACAAACAAACAAACAAACAAACAAACAAAAAAGTCCTTGCCTCATATGGTTGTTGTTCAGGATCAAACGTGTTAACACATATGAAATAACTTAATAGGGCCTAGCATGTAGAAAATCTTAAGAAATATTAACTATTTTGCAAAAATTAAAAGTGATGATCTCACAATTTACTGAGTTTTGCCCATTAACTTGATGCATATCACTTCTAACCTTTTCAGACATCTTGCCAGCTCTGTCTTGTTTCCTACTAAGCATTTGCAACTGCATGACTGGCCTAGCACCACAGTTCAACCCATAGAGAATTGAACTTTTCATTATCCCCAGCAAATATCAGTGTCCCCTAGGGACTTCATTGTAGTTGGGAGTGGCACCACTGTCTTTCTCCAAACTCAAATAACATATCGTTATTTTCCTTATAGTACCAATCTCTTGTTCTTACTTGTATTTAGTTCTATTTCATTCTTTTGGCAAAGCCTTTTTTTGTATTTAACTCCTTCAGTGACTCCTACTTGGAGAATGTACTATTTCTGTGCTATTAGAACACTTGCCAAATTGCATTCTCTGCATTCATTTTCTCATGCTCTAGTCTTATTTATTTCTACCAAGTACATCTCTAAAACATTATTTGTCTCTTGAGCAACCTTGACTAGCTATGAAATTTAGTTGAGGGTACTTAGCCTGATGTATAAGATGTTCCACATGATAATCTTATCCAAGTTTTCCAGAACGTCTCCTCTACTCCCTGAATATCTCTGTCCTTCGCTGTCTCTAGCCTTTTTTCATATTGTTGCCCTCACTTTAATTTTGGCATCTCCTTCTTGAAAATATTATAAGTCCCATTTCAAATTTTACTTCCTTCATTAAACATTTTCCTGACAGTCCGACAAAGCAGGTCACTCTTTAAAATTTCATTGGCACATTTTGACACTCCTTTCACTGCCATGATTCTACCTTCTCAGAGTCAAATATTTGTTTTATCAAAACTACCACTCACTCAACGTGCAAGTTGTAAGAATAAGTAGACAGTAAGTGCCTTATTCCTTTCTTGAATTTTATTCCTAGTTCTGTAAATGTTTGCTGCTAAGTCTCTTCCACAGAAAATGCATCTCTATAGCAACTGTCCTAGGTTTGCCGTTTACTTTCTTGTGCTTCTGTCTCCTGAGCGATTGACATGTGACTCAGCTCTTGCCAGCTTTTGTCACTTATAGCCAGTTGATGCTGGATCAGAATATAGAATCTGAAGACACTGAGGTCTTTATTCCTTCCATTTGTATTTATTTTTCTAGTGGTAATAAATGGATCCAAAGAATAAGTTTCAAGTGTGCTATAATCTACAAAAATAAAATATATGTTCCTTTTGGACACGGACTTTGCCTCATTTTATTTTTGTACAGAACTTTCATAGGAATTAATAGGACCTTATTACACAATTAAGATATTATTTGATTTGTTTAGGAACTGACATCATTTTTAAAATATAGATATTAAGTTATTTCACAACATCATATAACAGTTTGTACTGTTTCATTATTTATAGCAGTTGATTAAGCAGTTCAAGACCATGGTCATTTTATCCAGTATTTAATTGAGTTAAACCTATGTTTAAATATTATTTACAACTGACCAGATCAAAAGTTTAATAATATATAGTAAAAAAAATTCTAGTAATTTTGTTTCTTTTTCTGTTGTGTTCTTCTACATAATAGCATTTTTCTATAAAGGTCACATTGCTTTCCTGTTAGACGAAATTTGCATACTGACCCTATCTTACCCCTTTTTCATTTATTAGTGAACAGTTAGTATGCAAAATCTAAATAAATAAGACAAAACTGACCTTCTTTCAGATAATTTCAAATGTTAAAAATTAAAGCATCATTCCGTTATATTGCATTAGAATTGCCTCAGACTTAAAATTACTTCCACATTATTCCAATATGTGCTTGTAAGTTGAATGCAGAAAAGACCAAGTGATTTACACAATACAACTTAAGAGTCATTGTGTATGTATTTGAGCTTTAGTTCAAATGTAGTGTCTTCCTTTCCCCACTAATTTTATTGAGATATAAGTGAGAAATAAAAATTATATATATATTTGATATACAATGTGATATTTTGATATACATATACATTATGAAATGATTACCAAAATCAAGCTAATTAACATGGCCATCACCTCACGTAGTTACCACCATTCTGTGTGTGTGTATGTGTGTGTATGTGTGTGTGTGTGTGTGTGTCTGTGTGGTGAGAACATTTAAGATCTACTCTCTTAGAAAGTTTCAAGCATACAATATATTTGATAAATATTTGGATATATACCCAGAAGTGAAATTGCTGGATCATATGGTAGCTTCTTCTTAAATATGTTGAGGATGACTATTGTCTAGTGGTAAAATAAATAAATAAACAAACAAATTTTTGAGGAACCTCCATACTGCTTTCTATAATGGCAATACCAATTTACATTCCCATCAAAAGTGAACAAGAGTTCCCTTTTCTCTTAAATCCTCACCAGCACATCTCATTTGACTTTTTGATAATCACTAGTCTAACAGATGTGAGGTAATATCTCATTGTGGTTTTATTTCATTTCATGATAATTAATAATATAAGGCATCTTTCCACGTGCCTGTTGGTCATTTGTATGTCTTTGGAAAAGTGTCTGTTCAGATCCTTTGCCCATTTATTTGTTTTTTGTTATTGAGTTGTATCAATGTCTTATATATTTTAGGTATCAACCTCCTTTGGATATATGGCTTGCAAATATTTTCTCCCATTTCATAATTTGCCTTTTCATTTTGTTCATTGTTTCCTTTGCTGTACACAAACATTTTAGTGTGATATAGTTCCAATCGTTTATTTTTGCTTTTGTTGCCTATACTTTTAGTGTCAGATTCATAAAATCATTGCCAATACCAATGTTAAGAAGCTCTTCCCCAGTGCTTACTTTTAAAAGTGTTTCAGTTTTACATTTAAGTCTTTAAATCCATTTTGAATTGATTTTGGGGTGGTGGAAGATAAAGGTCCACTTTCATCCTTTTGCATATAGATATCCAGTTTTCCCAACAGTATATATTGAAGAGACTATCTTTCCCCCATTGTTTATTCTTGGTACCTTTTTCAAAGATTAGTTGACTCATGTATGTGCATGGGTTTATTTCTGGGCTTTTTAGAATTGTCAAAAAGGCTAAAATCTAATCAATCTGCTAATAAATTGTGTGGGTAGACACTGATCTCTTTATCTAGGCTGTATGCGTGAAACCATTTACCTTAACTTTCCTAAATTCTATAAATGATTATGATTTTTGAAAGGAGCTTTAGGAGTCAGAGGAGGAGGGAAACCTGGGGGTGGGTGTTGGAGGTCACCACAAGCCTTTTCCCTAAGTAACCTTTACCAGCCTGATTACCATAGTGCAGCACTCATCATTTTCTCCACATCCTCTCTCCAAGTCAGAGAAGTGCCTGTTTTGGTCAGACAGCTCTTATTTATGGAGACTGTAGATGCTGAGTTTGTAGATTCAGGGATCTTGTGACTCTTAAAAACCTTTAAATACAATACTTCCTCTGGGAAAACTGAAAAATTGACTGTGATTCTATGTGCCTTTTTTCTGTACTCTAGAAGATGTTGAAGATGTACCAGCTTCAAAGAAAGCTAAAGGTGAGTTTGCTGTCTTTGGATCATTTACAAGTTTTCTCTCAAAGCTATAAGGTTTTTGTCTGTCTTTTTTTTTTTTTTCCTAGCTATTCTTGATCTAGTCTTAAGCTTTTCTAGGCAACATTTACATGGTAGGCTTATTTTTAAAGCAAACAGCTTTTTAACATTATTTGGAAAATATACATCTTTTCACATATTAAAAACACTAGTTGGGTATTGATTTATTTACAATTGTCAGATGCATTTATTTGCCAATCTACAGGAATAATACTTCAAAATCACTATTCCATTAAGAATTACAAGAATGCCATGATTTTATTAAGAAGACTTGAGATGAGTCACCTATATTAGCAGCACCATCAGGAAGGAAGGAAGGAAGGAAGGAAGGAAGGAAGGAAGGAAGGAAGGAAGGAAGGAAGGAAGAAATGGAAGGCTGGACTCAACCCCTGCACTCTTCCAGCCCAAGCCAGAGGACAAACAGTCAGGAAAACCTGCGATCTCCAGATGTACGAACTTCATAAAGTATTTCCAGGACAAAATTTCTCCATCTGTAGAATGAGGGCTTCAGCTAACTTGATTTTTTTTCTGAAAGGTTCCTGGCTTTTTCATTAGGGCTGCTATAAAATAGGCATTATGTTAAAAAGAAATGAACTTTTACTTTAGGTTTAGGGGTACATGTGTATGTTTGTTATATAGGTAAACTCATGTCATGGGGGTTTGTTGTACAGATTATTTCATCACCCAGGTATTAATCCTGCCATCCATTAGTTATTTTTTCTGATCCTCTTTCTCCTTCCACTCTCAACCGTTGGGTAGGCCTCAGTGTCTGTTCCTCCCGTCTTTGTGTTCATGTTTTCTCATTATTTAGCTCCCACTTTAAGTGAGAACATGCTGTATATGGATTTCTGTTCCTGCATTAGTTTGCCAAGGATAATGACCTCCAGCTATATCCAGCAATGGGATTGCTGGGTTGAATGATAGTTCTGTTTTTAGCTCTTTGAGGAATCATCACACTGCTTTCCACAATAGTTGAACTAATTTGCACACCCACCAACAGTCTACAAGTGTTCTCTTCTCTCTGCAAGCTCCTCAACATATGTTATTTTTTGACTTTTTCATAATAGCCATGCTTACTGGTGTGAGATGTTATCTTATTGTGGTTTTGATTTGCATTTCTCTAATGAGTAGTGATGTTGAGCTTTTTTTCATACGCTTGTTGATTGAATGTATGTCTTCATTTGAAAAGTACCTGTTCATGTCCTTTGACCACTTTGTAATGAGGTTGTTTGCTTTTTTCTTGTAAATTTGTTTAAGTGCTTTATAGATCCTGGATATTAGACCTTTGCCAGGTACACAGTTTGCATATAAAAAAAAAGTATTTTCTCTTCCACTTCTAAATTTGTCTGCAGGCAATAAGTATTTGCCTAAGCATTGTTCTAGCCAACGAAGTATAAATTCTTTGCCAGTGCCCAAAATTAACCAACAATGTGGAAAATAGTGCTTTGAGAAAACACACACAGGTCAGGACCTTATCAAATAAAAGTTGAGATTTACACTTGTATTAAGACACCTTTCTGAATACTATATTTTATATATATATTTTTTAAATTGAATTAAGACTAGCCACCCTAATAGGTTTTTTACTCATAGACCAGTGCTTCTAAAACTTTAATGTTTATACAGATCAACTGTAGGTCTCCCTAGAATTAAATATCTGAGTTAGAACCTAAAAATCTGCATTTATATAAATAAATCAATTGATGCTGAAACTAGTGGTATATAGATTACACTCTGAGGGGAACCGCTCTAGAACCAATTGAAAAATTGATAAGATCTGTAAACCTAACTTTCTATGAAACACACACACTAACACACATGTACACACAAACACACACACACACTCTCTCACAACTTCTAATTATTTCAATGTTTTATAGAAAAACCCCCAAAACCCCATTCGTGGATACCAGTTAAGAACTTCTAATCGGAAGAAAGGGATTCAAAGAAATAGTTTCAAGCTATGCAACACTACATAAATTTGCGATGGATATTACTACAGCAAAAATAAATAAATAGTCAGTGAATCAGACGTGAAAAGGGAAGAATGCAGGATACTGGGCTGCTGCTCTACTTTCATGGCAAGGATGATCACGAAAAACATATGTCCCTCCAAATTTGGGATTATTTTGACTAAAATGTTCATCTTTAGCCAGATTTTACCCTTACCAAATTGTAATTCTGAGCATCAAAGATCCCTTCTCAGGAAAGGGATGCATGTCAACTATCCTCATTAATGAATATCTGACACATCAGGGCCAGTTTTCCTATTTAAACAATTGTTTGTAGCGTGACATTTTTTTCATGGGTTCCCTTTCTCTCTCTGGCTCTTGCCTATTAAATTTTACAGTGAAAATATGAATAGAATCTGTGTACAAATCTGGAGTATACTATAAAAAGGGTAACTCCTGTTTCTTTCATAGTGTGCTTCTGTTTAGACATTCTCAGTCCCATATATATTTATATAAAAGTTGTAAATGTACAAGTTATTTACTTTTATATTTTTTATCCACTAGAAGGAACTGAAGATGTGTCTCCCACAAAGCAGAAAAGTAAGTTTATAATGAGATTAAAAGTAATAAATCATTCTGTATTAAAGATGCTACATCTATGTAAAAATGTTAGACTCTCTTAAGACCAGTATTCGAAGAAAAAATTTTTTAGCATAGACATGAAGAATAACATTAAAGTAGGTCATTTATATTTTAAAAAGAAGCGTATCACTTTTGTGTTAGGCAAGAGGCAGATAGTTGGAAGAGTTACAAGTAATGGTTGAAGTGGCATTTATCGCAAATCCTTCTACATATTTCTGATCCTTAGTACTCTGGCTGAATCTATGCTTAAATGTGTCTTACTGCCTGCTTTATAATAGGACAGCTGAAGTAATATGCCAAATTTTTTTATATCAGGTAGAAAAAATGAAGAAATAGGTTTTAGCAATTCAATTGCTTGGAAACTCACTTCTAAGATTCAAGATTCTTTTTGATTTTGCTAGATGTATGGTAGGTTCTAAATATTCAAACTTTGGGATCATTTATTTTAGAATCCAATCAATATTCATGTGCAGTTACAAAATTCAATGCCCAAGTTTCTCATTATTTCGGTTCTTCCAAATTAGACATTTTTGTTCATATGGTAAAGCAATAAATTTTAAATCTGTATTTGCATTAAAGTCATTGCAGAACAGAATAAAGGAAGCAATTTTTGAAATAGGTATAACTGAAGTTTGTGTCACATAATGCTTTTAAAGTAAAGAGCTAGATATTTGTCTGAAGAAATGACGTCTCTTGATTCTCCAGTGCTTTTTGGATGTTTTTGTGCAGGAAATTACTAAAGTGCCCCTTACAATAGCAAATGCCTCCTACTCTGTATTAATAGGTGATTCATTAGACAGATACTGAATGCCTACTATGTTCCAAGTACTTCTTTGGATGCTGGAACTACTGCAGTAGATAAGACACTTATTATAATCCTTCATATAATAAGGTTGTGAGAAATATAGGGAAATAAGCAGAGTCTTATGATACTTTGAGTAATATTACAAAATCCATAAGAAAAAGAATTATAGGTCAATCTGGACATATTTTCATTTTATATAGCAACGCTTTCCCAATTATTAACCTACTGGTAATAATTTGTGGCTATGTCACATAAACATTTGAAATCTCATATATTTTAAATAACTATTAAAATATAATTCAATGAGACAGGTGAATTGTATCAATACCAGTTTCCTAGTTGGAATATTGTTCTATAGTTTTACAATATGTTACCATTGAAGGAAACTAGGTGAAGATATGTGGTATCTTTCTGTATTAACTCTTACAATTACATGTGAGTCTACAATTATTTCAAAGTAAAAATTTTAATTAAAAACAAAACGCAAATACTTTTAGTAAAATGGTGTCAAATATTCTAACCTCAGTTGGGGGATCTATTGCATCAAAATGATATTTGCTATCTTCGTCTTACAAGAAGGCAGTTCTATAGCCTGATATTCATGAGCCTTTAATTTAAGCTCTAATATTTGCAGTCATAATAATATTTTAATGAGTAGCTTATTCAACATCAATTAAATAAATGTGTCAAAACAGTGTCCACTTCTGATAAGCAGCTGGAAGGCAGCCTGTCATTGATGGGCCCTTCTACTTTTAGCAATGGATTTCCATTTCTCCTTGTGCAGGGCCGGCTTTACTACTGTCCCTCTTGTAGCCTGCCTAACCCCCAAGCTCCCATAACCTCCACAAACTTGAAGAGACGGAAGTTGTATTATTGCTTCGGTTTGAAGATAGAAGAAAAGAGAAATCATTCCAGATGAGATGCATTGGAAAAGATAACTAAATTCAAGATTCTTCAAACTATTGTCATCCCTGAAAACCCAGTGACCCATGGAAATGGAATCAGAATACTCCCTGGTTGCTTCTCCAGCTTCCTTTTTTCCTATCCTTTGCTTTATTCTACTTCATAAACCCCTAGTCTCATATGGATTTGGCCATCTTCTTTATCTCCCACACACCACTAGCTTTAACTATGATTTTTCTTTCCTGGCCTTCTGCAAAAATCTATGGCTGGTTGACAGAATGCAAATGGATAGGATAGAAAACACTGGAAGTTTGTAGGCACCCAAGATTGTGAGGAGATGCTAAACTCGCCATCTTTTACCAAAGCTGCTACCTGGGAGCACCGGCTTACTGAGTCCAGAGTCCTTACTTGCACCACACTCCCTTAACTTTCCTGTTTTGCTTTCTACTCAGAGCTGCTACCTGGCTGCTACCTTTGTTGCTCAAAGAGCAACCAAGCCACCTTAGGAAAGCTCTTGCCTCTAAAGTAAGGGCAAATAAAACTTCTAGATGTTGGCACCACCTCTCTGTGACATTATAAAACACACACACACAGTCTGTTGCTTTGCATATTGATAAGCTCATATTTTGAAACCTGTGACTATGTCTCTATGATTGCTATGCACATCAACAGATGTCTATATGATCAGAACTTTGACTTTCTCTGCCAGGCCATTTTTATTATCACTTATTAAAGGCTTATTACATACCAGGAAGAATTTTAAGAGCACATGTAACTCATGTAACTCATTTAACTGTCATAATATTTCTGTGCGGTTTTCGTTGTTTTGATGTTATACATAAAGACTCCAAGACACAGTGAAGTTTAGTAACTTGCCAACAGCTACGGAGGCTGCTGGCAGAATCTGTGACCTTATCTGCTGCACTGCACTGCCTCACTGTGCTTTTTTGCTCATGTTCTGCATGTTTTAACAAACTGTCATGCTCTGTTCCTTAGGTCCCATCAGTTTCTTCCAGTGTGTCTACTTGGATGGGTACAATGGCTATGGATTTCAGTTTCCTTTCACTCCTGCAGACCGCCCTGGAGAGAGCTCTGGTCAAGCAAATTCTCCAGGACAGAAGCAACAAGGACAGTAAACACACATGTATGACCCTTACAAGTGCTTTAAGATTTTAAAAATGTGATGTTTTGTCCACAGTAGTTCAGGCAATTAAGAATATGCAACCCAGAGAATTTCTGTGAAAACATTTTGCTCTTTGGCCTGGTGTGGACGGAAAGGGTGGCCAAATGGATTGAGTGATGAGCAGACATGTTTAAGGGTCTAAGTCTCAAGAATCTGTTATGTGTGTTTGCTGCGGTGGGAGGGGGTGCTTGTATTTATCTTATTTCCAGTCACTATAAGGTTGTACACAAACTAATTTAAAGTTTACTTAATAATGGTATCTTTAAAATAATTGACACAATTGCAAAATGAATTCCTGGCTTCAGTTAGCTATTATTTTTTTAATGACAACATAGACTGTGCTCTAAGTTTAAAAGATGGGGAAGCTTATATAAAAGTGACCCTTTTGCATCATATGGGTATCTAAACTTAATTTACCCAATAAGTTGATGCTTAATGATTTTATTTTATTTTTGTCTATTTCTATTTTAGTTGTGGCTTTGCTCTAAGAATGGGTAATAGTTGTACTACAGACTGCTATAAATTTCTTGTGATACTCTTTTAGAGCTCAAAATATCTCTGAGCTTTAGACATGGTAAGGTGGAGAGTAAATGCTTGATAAATCTTTAAGATATGTCTTGAATGATAATTAGGACATTCAGTCCAGTGGAAATACACCATTCAATTAGTCAGGTCTGGTGAATCGTTTGTTTAAAATATTAGCAAATGAGATGTGGAATTCTGAAATTTCTCCAGACTGTGTCTTAATAAAAATGTCACCTGGGTGAAATTTTAGATCAATCACTAAATTTGGGTGACAAATATAAAAATATTTTCATTTCACTTTAATACATTCTTTCTGTGAAGTAAAATGTTTTTCTTTCTCATAATGGCAAAATATGAATGCCATCAAAGTTTAAGGAATTCATTTTAGCCTTAAATGCCTTCGTGAGATGTCTTACTTGTATTTTAGGTAACTGGTCATCAGTGCCAATGACATGGATAACAATTTTTAATCTACTCGACAGTGCATCCCTGGGAATGACTGTTATGTTTTTGTCATATTCCTGGTAATATAAATACTCGTGTTCTTTACTACATTGTTTTTATCAACTCTAAAAGTCATGCCTCTGTGACCTTTATCATGTTTACAATTGCAACTGAACTTATGACAAATTAACTCAGGAAATAAATTGAGTTATCCTTTCTAGCATTGTAATTACCATCAGCAAGGCCTGAGATAGCCAGAGCCAATACTAGCCAAGTGATTTATTTTCAAGGATTGCCACTAACTACGGTTCTTTAGGACCAAGATATAAAACAGTCACTAAAAATCATTAGGCTAGGTATCAGTAATACATTCATTACTAATAATGCATTTTTGGAGACTTTTGTGAAAGAAGTTGGTCTCTGCCAAAAGCTGGTGGACCACATTCACACCACGAAAGCCAGTGTCACATGAACCAGATTAATGACTCTCTTTATGGGGTATGTGGGACATCCTGGAAGTGTATAATTTCAGGAATGACCAGACAATACCATCTTGCAAAGCCCCTTCAGGTGACAATCTAAACTTGTGGGTAGGAGAGTGCATAAAGTTTATTGCTCAACTGCTCCTCCAGCCTGCTGAATTTACTGAGTAAAGAAATAGCAAATATGATAGATGTTTTAGATTTCATAGAACAGAATGGTTTGTCCATTAATTCTTTCATTCAATGACTGTTTATTGAATACCTACTCTTTTAGGGCGCTGTGTTAGGTGCTGTATTGTACAAGAAAAATATAATAAATTAGATTCCCAGCGCTATTCTGACATAGTGAATGACCTTGAAAAATTTACTAAACATACTATGTTTGTTTCTCCATGAGTAAAATAGGGATATAGGGACAAACAGTCTAATATCTCATAGAAATACCATGGAGACAAATAAAATATTTTAATATAAATATGATATTAAAGTAAATTTCTGAAGTAATACTTTTGGGTATGGCACTAGTTTTTCCTCTGACTATTTTACTGTTTCTTTCACTCTCAATATAAAAACTATTTGATAAGATAAAACGATATATTTTATTGTAATTAGAATTTAGACAAATCAGCTATAATGTAA
The DNA here is from genome assembly GCF_000001405.40 of Homo sapiens. Lineage (NCBI taxonomy): Eukaryota > Metazoa > Chordata > Mammalia > Primates > Hominidae > Homo > Homo sapiens. The sequence goes on along the minus strand of NC_000006.12, from coordinate 123,216,463 downwards.
AAATGTTAATAATAATTACGTTTTATCTGATTAAAGTTACAATGATCATAGCACTTTAAAAATATTATCTGAACTGTCATTTGTTTATATATTACCGTCTAATAAAATAGTTATAGATCTTCCAAGTTTGATGCCTTACATTTTAAAAGGAAAAGATAAATGGTTGATTAAGAATCTTTGTCTTTAATGGTTCATTCATAATTCAAGTTATACTGGCCAGGAATATGTAAGCATTTCATAATTGTTTTAGTTATTTTGCACAATTGGTACACACTACTCCCATTACATCCCTGCGTTTACCCACCCTTCATCCCCTCTTAATAGATAAAGATCTGAAAATAAGAATCGATTTTTCCTTAGGTTTTTGATTTATATTTAGTTTTCCTAAAGCCTGATAAATCATTATTCAAATGGGGCAAGTGTTTTTTTGTTTCTTTTTTTTTTTTAATGAACCCTAGCAAAAGCACCTGTATGTTGACTCATTCTGGCATATCTTTTCAAAACCTTTTAACTTCTTGCAGAAATATTTTAGAAACTGGTATTGTGATACTGTGTATTTTAGAGATTTAACTTGTACCCTTGAGTAATTTTTCTGGAGAAAAAAGCAAAGGAGATAACAAATATTGCTGATAGAAAACTCAGTGACCATATAAGCCAAGTGGCACATACAGAAAATGAAACTAATCCTTAGAGAAACTTGAAAATTTGCCCAAAGTAACTGACTACTTCAAAACCAGGCCTAGAACCTTGATCAGCTAACTCCCAAATGTTCTTCAGTTTTCAGGGTGTTATTACAAATATTGACTTATTTTTCCAGTATCCTCAAATCCATCTTGCAAATTATACTTGGTGATAGACATGTAACCCTCTATGAAAAGACTTGTCTTTTTTCCTACTTGAAAGCTGAAAAGTGCCTTAAGAGTGTGTTGCATTCAATTGCTTTACAGTAAAGAAAATAAATGTCAGAGAGGTTAGGTGGCAGGCCTAGAGGCACATTGTTAGTAAGCAGCAGAACAAATGCGATTGAAAGCTCGAATCTTTTTCTAATCCTATTCATATCCTTCCTGCCCTTTGTAACTCCATATGATATCGTCACCATCATAAAAGCTTCCCTTTGTTACTTGCAAACTAATTAAGAAATAGAAACTCAGCACGACTTCCCAGTAGCTGGCCTCCTTGCAGCATTTTTTGCCCCACTCCTTTCAGGATTATATCAGCTCTATCCTGTACCTTTCCTTTCCCCCTCATTAATCATATATGTCCATGAAACATTTAGTTATTACTGTAGATGCTTTCCTTTGTGTGTAAAATAAAGACCTTTATTTTCCCAAACTATCCAACTATTGAAAAATCATTAGTCGTTAAAAAAAATGTGGCCCAAATAACAAGAAAGCAAAAACAACTTTTTTAAATTCAGCTTTTCCGAAGATTCAGGTTAATAAAATAAGAAAGACAAATAATTGTAAAACACACTTGAACTCTAAAGAAGAGCTCAGAATAATTGATGAAGTGAATTATTACATATTAGTATTTGAGTCATACAAGTTCCAGTAAGAAACACATGTTATCAAAGCAATGATAGCAAAAAGAAGGAAATTCTTAGTTTCTCATACAGCCACATCCAGCTCCAGGCCATTTGCCCTCTGCAATATCATCAATTCACTTATGTATGCTTCTTGTTGAACTATTAACATGAGTTAAGTACTCTAACTAAGTCATTAGAACTATTTTTTACCCACCACAGCTCAAATTCTCTTAAATAACAATGGTAGGTAGGTAGAACACTCCATGCCTCTGAATAGCTCTGTCAGGCCAGATGTCTTTTCAGAACAACCGTGCTGTGGTGGAGAGCCCACCGGATGAGGAGTCCACAAACCCAAGGTCAGACTTTAACTCTAGGAGTAACTCTGGTCATTTATCTTCTCTGTCCTTCAATACTTCATCTCCAAATGAAAATAAAAGTGCTACAGCAGCAAAAGGACTTTCATCTTTGGCAAGGAATATTATGGAAATGTACCTTGTAAAGTGATACTATTGCTAAGATCTTTCAAATTTCCTTCCAGTTTTGTTATTAAATGATCCAAATGCAACCTGCATTTTAGACCTAGTGTTGCCAAGTGGAATTAGCCAAAGCGGCGAATAAAAATCAGAGCTACACGAACCAAATACAAAAATGGGAACATTACACTGACAAAAACAATTTTGCACTTAAAAAATTTAGTTTTGTGTCATTTTCACAGAGTTGCTATAAATCAGTGACAGCAGAATATCCTTCAACCCACTGAATCAGAACACATGGACCATGTAAGAGGCCTGTGGAAAAGTGATACTCTGAATGAGAGCTGAGACGGAAAAGTGACTCATGTACCCCAAGACACCGCCAAGGGTTGAGCACTCACTAAAATGTCTGAAGGTATTCCAGCAATCTAAGTTAGTGAAGGTAGTGTTAAAATAAATACTAAAGGAAGCATCTCAAAACATTAAAACATTTAGTGTATGGTGTTTGCTTAGGAAAAAACATCTCTCCCTCTCTCTCTCTCTCACTCTGTGTGTGTGTGTGTGTGTGTCTCAGTGCACTCACACACACAACTCAGTGAGAAACCATTTAATATATTTGATGCAAACATGGGCACAGATGAACTTATCTAAATGGATGATCTGAATGGAAGGTGCATTCTTCGCAAAGGAAGCAATGCTTTATAGAAAAGGGAAACACAACTGCATTCTAGCAATTTTGAGGAACAATGTAGCTAGCAAACAAATTACTTTCATCTTTGGAACATACATGTATCAAAGAATATTTTTAAAATTAGGAATATATTAACTTTATTCAATATCAAAATGGTATTATAAGAGGACACGGAAAGTGTCCTTTCACCTCATCTCTGTTGCCTCACTTTCCCATTCACTCCTATACTTTCTACGGCTAAGCACATTTATAGGGTCTCATGAAAATACAAATGGAAACAAAAATATATTCTTATTGTTTATTTTTCTTACACAAATGTTACATATTACAAGCATTATTCAGTGCCTTCTTTTCTTAACCATGTATCCTAGATTATTTGTATACAGGTATATACAAAGTTTTCTCATTTCTACCAATAGACATAGATACAGATATAGACAGATCTCATACCCACAGTGTAGTGCACACATCTCAAGTGTAGAGCCAGATACATCTATGAAATCACAACTGAAATCAAAATGTGGGACATTAACGGCAACCCAGAAGCCTCATTCATGCTTCACATGGTCAATACCCTCAGGTGAACCACTGTTATGATTTCTATCATTGAAGAACTGTTTCAATTGTTTTGACTTTCATATGAATGAAATAGTAAATTACATCTTTTTTGTACCCAGTTTCTTTTCTCAATATTACACCTTTGAGACTCATTCATTTTGTTACATGTAGAAGTAATTTTTTTTCTTTTTCATTGTCTTATATTACCCATGTATGCATATACCAACAAATTTATTTATACATTCTACTATGTGTGGTAATTCACACTGTCTCAGGTTTTTGTCTATTAAAAATAACACTGCTTTAAACAGTCTGGTTAGTGCCTTTTACTGCGTTTATGTGTGTGCAGAGTAGGGGAGGACATTATACACATGAGTAGAATTACTGGCTTATCGAGTATGAGAATGTTCATCTTTAGTAGATAATATCAAACAATTTTCTAACTGCTTGATATGGTTTGGATGTTTTGTCCCCTCCAAATCTCATGTTGAAATGTGACCTCCAGTGTTGGAGGTGGGCTTAGTGGGAGGTGTTTGGGTCTTGGGGGTGGATCCCTTATGAATGGCTTGGTGCTGTCCTCACAATAATGAGTGAATTCTCACTCTTAGTTCACACTAGATCTGGTTGTTTAAAAGACCCCGGTGCCCCCTCCCTCCCTCTCTTGCTCACTCTGTCACCATGTGACACACCTGTTCCCCTTTGCCTTCCACCATGATTGGAAGCTTCCTGGGCCTCACCAGAAGCTAAGCAGATGCTGGTGCCATGCTTGTACAGCCTACAGAACTGTGAGCCAAATAAACCTATTTTCTTTATAAATTCCTCAGTCTCAGGTATTCCTTTATAGCAATGCAAATGGACTGATACATTGGTTGTACCAATGTATACTCTACTGACTGAGTATAAGTGTTCCAGCTGCTCCAGATCCTTGCCAACACTTGCTATTATAAGTTTTGTTGATTTTAACTTCTGATGGGTAGGAAGTGGAACATCATTGATCTTATAAATTGGATTTTCCTGATGACTAGTGATACTGAGACACTTGTGTTATGTTTATTGATTATTTGGATATCCTCTTTTATGTAGACTCTGATTAAGCTTTTTGGACTTCTGTTAATTAGATTTTTGTCTTTTTAAAAATACGGTCATGGGTCTTTAATGATGAGAATACATTCTAAGAAATGAGTCATTAGTTGATTGTGTCATTGTGTAAACATCACAGAATGTACTACTTACAGGAATCCAGATGGTATAGCCTACTATACACCTAGGCTATGTGATATGGCCTCTTTTTCCCAGGCTACAAACCTGAACAGCATATTACTGTACTGAATACTGTAGGCAATTGTAACACAATGGAAAGTATGTGATATGGTTTCGTTGTGTCCCCACCCAAATCTCATCTTGAATCGTAGCCCTATAATTCCCTCGTGTTGTGGGAAGGACCCAGTGGGAGATAATTGAATCATGGGGGTGGTTCCCCCCATACTATTCTCATGGTATAGAATAAGTCTCATGAGAACTGACGGTTTTATAAGGGGAAACCCCTTTCCCTTGGCACTCATTCTTTTCTCTTGTCTGCTGCCATGTGACACGTGTCTTTTCCCTTCCACCATGATTGTGAGGCCTCCCGAGCCATCTGGAACTGTGAGTCCATTAAAACTCTTTCTTTTGTAAATTGCCCAGTTCTCGAGTATGTCTTTATCAGCAGTGTGAAAATGAACCAACACAGTATGTATGTATCTAAACATATCTGAGCACAGACAAGGTATATTAAAATACACCATTACAATCTTATGGGACCACAATTGTATATGAAGTCTATCATTGACTAAAATATTGTTATGTGGTACATGACTGCATAGGGATTTTTAATATATTTTCATTACAAGTCTTTAATTAGCTATATGTGTTATAAATGTGTTCTCTTACTCTGTGGCTTGTAACTTTACTCTCTTAAATCCATCTTTATCAGAAACTTAAATTTTAAAGTAGCCCAATTTATCTTTTCCTTTATAAATAGTGCTTATTAAGCCCAACTTAAGAAATTCTTACTTATCTTAATGCCATAAAGATATTTTCCTCTATGAACTTACAGAAACTTTGTTTTACCTTTCACATTTAGGTCTACAATCTGGGTAGGATTCATCTTATGTATATAAGGTGAAGTAGAAAAAGTCGACTTTTTCTATATGAATATATAGATAATTCAGCACCATTTACTCAAAAGACAATTTTTTTCCACTATGTTGTAAGGGTTCCTTCATTGTAAAAGAGATAAATGTTATATGTGTGAGTCTGCTTCTCAATTTTCTTTTCAGTTCCATTGGTCTATTTGCCTATCCATGTGCCAATACCACATGGGTTAATTATGGTAACATAGCAAATGCTAATAACAGTAGTGTTACTCATCCCAATTTGGCTTCTTCATAATGGTTTTCATTGTCCTTTATTTTTTAATATTCTTTCTTGCACATTGTTTTTTACTTCATTGATATTTGCATTTATACGTATAAAAATAAACTTTGTCATTTTCCCTGCCTTCCTAAAATAAATGATTAGATTATTCATTCTTATTCTTAATTCTTTTTCAACATCTGCATTGAAGTGTATATGGTGTGTGTGTGTGTATATATATATATATATATAATATTTTACTCTAAAGTCTGCCTTAGCATTTAACACATTTTATGTCACATTTTGTTATCATAAAATTTAAAATATTTTCTCATTTTCATTGTTGTTTTTTTTTTTTTTGGTTCCATGGGTTACTTAAAGCATATTGCTGAATTACAAACAATTTTTAATTTGCTAGCTATTTTTTCTGTTTGACTTCTAGCTTAATTCCATTACATATTTTCAATTCTTTGAGATATGCTGATGCATTCTTTATGGCCCAGAATATGATTAATTTAAAAATAAGTGCTGTATACTCCTTGGCTGATTAATAAAATATCTGCATTACAAGGAATCTATTTCTATTATTTGGTTTTGATCCTTTTTCTTTCCTGCGTTTGGTCTTATTTCATACATTACTTTTTAAAATCCTGAAACATTGTAGAGGCCCTGGTTGCAGAATATTTAATTTTTTTCTGGCAGATAGATAGACCATGAGCAGATTGCTTTGATACAGTTGAGTTTGAGATTCTAGCTGTATTAGGGCTAGTTTATTTCCCAGCCTTAGAGCAGTTACTCCTAGGTTATTGCCTTTCTGTGTTCTCAATGAAAGCTGGGTTGTTGACCAGGTCATCTCCACTCTAATGAGACCTGAACTTCATTCTGTATTACTACAGATTGCTGAATGCTGTGCTCCAATCTTTAGCCTCCTAGATTATCCACTTTATTTGATTTCTTGTGTCTTACCCTACATATGGAAGATTGGGAGTAAGCAAATGCCTTTGAGAAAAAATTGCATGGCAAATGTGTTCTCCAGAGAATTGCATTCTCTGTAGTCTTGAACCCTTGAGTTTCAACCACTTTGGCTGCCAGAACTCCAACTTCTGTCTTGCCAGCCCATAGAGGCCACTGAAAGATTTAGCTTGGCCTCCATTCCTCATTACGTAACTTGTCAAATCCCTCCAATGTACAAAACAGATGAATATGGAACTCACCACAGTATATTTCCTTTCTTCTCTAGAATTTTGGACTCTTGATTCTTGGCTACTATACTTGATTTTTGATTCCTTGAAATGGATTCTTTTTTCCAACTAGCTTTAGTAATTGTTTTCAGCAAGAGGATTAGTTTGATAAAATTACTGCATCATGCTTGTAAGTAAAAATGGTTCTCATATTTTGTTTACAATTCTATAGGATTTCAATGTATGGATATACCATCATTTATTGAACTAGTCCTTAATTATACAGACTCTTAGGTCATTTTCAATTATTTTGCTATTATTGACAATGTTGCAGTGAATAACCTTGGACACTATCACATGTATATACACACACACACACACACACACACACACACAAATATATAAGGTCAAATTCATTGAAGGGGCATTTTCAATTAAAAAATATATGCATTTGTAATGTTATAAGCTGTGATCATTTGCCAATAGCATCCCCAGTTATTGCTCCTTTTAAGGGCCCAGAGTTGCTCACAACAGTCAGCATTCTGATGAGGTTTTCTCCCTCTGTGAATGAATGTTCACTGTTGGATTTTGAGATCTTCCAATCTAGGGTCCTGCCACATTCTGTAATTCTGAACACTGTTTGCGACTGCCCATGTAGGTTTCATTGGTATCATTTATTTTGGCTGCGAATATATATATATAGTTTTGACTCTATGTTTTGCTTCCAAGTTTTGGTGAAGATACATGCTTTTGGATCATTTTTTGTTTGTTTTGTTTTCTCTGTTGTTTCATGTAGTTTCCAGAAAGTGTCAACATTTAGAATTCCACAGCTGGCATATTTCCATTAAAGTGAGAAATACATTCATTTAAAAGATTAAATTGAATATTTTAATAACTGGAAATTTGACAACTATAAATGGCAGTAATACCAGTCTAGTGATAAGTTTTTGCATGACTGAAACAAAATATATTGCACAAGTTTTTATAAATATAAATGTTTGTTTCTTTTAAAATAAAGTTTTGATGTGGTTGAGGAAATTATCCTTTTTTGAAGAATATGGAAGAATTTTAATCTGTAATATTTACTTACAGAAATGTAAGACTACTAGGCAAAGATTTTCTAGTAGGTCATTTTGAATAACAGGAAATCTGATGTCTGCTTTCAGAGCTCTGGAAATAATGCTAATTTTTAATCTCATCACGAGCCCCATAAAACATACTTTAAAGAAATCAAAAGGTCATGATTCACACCATTAACACCCTCAGCTTTACAATTGTACCTTTGATGTGAAAGAGTCTTTAGTTCTTCTTAGTTCAAAAGAATCTTTGCCGAAAGTCTATAAAAATTTTCATTCACATCTCATTTTATTTAGTTTTGTTAGAGTTTGCAAGTCCTTGTCTAGTGAGGAGGAAATTTATCACATGCCTATGTAAAGTGACTTAGCTAGCGCCTAGGACAAGATGGCTCAATGCCTGTAATCCCAGCTCTTTGGCAGGCCAGGGCAGGAGGACTGCTTGAGCCAAGGAGTTGAAGACCAGCCTGGGCAACGTAGGGGAACTCCGTCTCTACAATCAATAAATAAATAAATAGCCAGGCACGGTGGCCCACCCTTGTGACCCAAGCTTCTCAGAAAGCTGTGGTGGGAGGATCGCTTGAGCTCAGGAGTTCAAGGCTGTAGTGAGCTATGATCGCACCACTGCACTCCAGCCTGAGCAACAGAACGAGAGTCTCAAAATAATAAAATAAAATAAAATAAAATAAAATAAATGACTTAGCTAAACTGCTTAGCTCTGCTAAAAGCTGTTAAATACAGAAAGACTTAAAATAACTTCAGTTCATGGTGTTGATATCCATTTTACTGAAATTTGCTTTTGGAAGCCCAGTTACAGAATTTTTTTTTTTCATCATTAACTACAAATCATTAGGTGGCTGAGGGGGAACTGGTGATTTCTGTTTGCCTCACTAGTGGTTTCCTATCACTTTTTACTATAGCATAATGCTAAAACTGAGTAAAAATAGAATATATGTAATGTTATAATTGTTACGAGCTCATTTTGAGGAATAGTATAGAAATTGTACTTTATATCTTGTGTGAAGTGGTCACAAATAACGTATTTAATGTGAAATAAACTTATCTACTACAGAAAATAGGACTGCAACAAAGTATGCTTTCTGTAATTTCAGTGGTACTACTTTTAGTCAAGAATTGGGCAGTTTGGGGAAATAGAGAAAATAATCTTGAAACACACTGAAAGATTTTTATTGTTCGGTTAGCAGAACAATTCCTAGATTTACAAAGATGTTCTTAAAATAAAACTCTAACCAGATTAGGATAAAGATGTCAGGATCTTTTGGTAGATTAACTACTAGGATACAGGCAGCCCTCAATTCATAACTTTTCAACTTTACAATGTGTGAAACCATCACAATCTTGATGCAATATACAGTATTCAATACATTACAATAATTCAATACATTACAAGCTGGGTTTGGTGAATGAAATTAATTTTAAAAATTAAAAAATTAAAGAAATTACATGACAGATTCAATATTTTATTATAAAATAGACTTTGTGTTAGATGGTTTTGCCCACTGTAGGCTAATGTGTCATGAGCACATGTTAGGTAAGCCATGATGTTCCGTAGGTCAGGTGTATTAAATACATTTTTGACTTATATTTACTGGGTTTACCAACATGCAAACCCACTGTAAATTGAGAAGCATCTGTATATTAGTAATCAAATTGATAATTAAAGCTCCCGACTAATAGTTAACAAGGAGAAAGATGCTGGTATTTATGGAACATCAATTTAATAAGTGGCAAAAATGAGTACCTTTTGTTTTCTTTCAGAAACAATTGGCCACATATCTTTAAAAAGAACATTTAAAAAATTATGTTTAGTATTTTATTATAAAATAATATCAATTTTTAAAAAATAGTTACTAGTGTAATATGAATAGCCTTAAATGCCTAGAGAAAAGCCTACACACGTAAGTAGAAAGCTTATACGTGTAATGGTAGAAATTTTGAACTTGAAGAGACAATCCTGCAATTTGACAAATAGGATAACTAAAGACCAGAGCACTTCACTGACTTACCCAAATCACAAACTTGTTAAAAGCAGAACTTATACATGATTTAGATAATATATAGACAGCAAAATAAAAACAAAATGTCATATCTAGTTTTACTTTCCATGACGATACGATTGAATAACATGATAATGGTGAAGGGCCATTTACTATATTTTAGGGAATTAGTTCATTAAAGCTGTATATTTATGCCATATTTAAGATGTCCACGGCTTTCTAAATTTTTTTCAATTTCTTTGACGTTTTCTAGTCTGTTTTATTCAATAATTTTCAATGGTGTGTTCTTTATTTTCACCTTTAAGACAGCAATTCCTTGATGTGTAGTATTTTTCTATTGACCTCAAGTTGTACATTTTTCTTTAATAATCTTTCAAACAGGGAACCTCAATCAAATGGTGTTTTCAGTAGAGGGAGTATGAGGACAATAGGGATGTTATAAATAAGTACTGCCATGCATTTTATTTTATTTTGTTTTTGGTTATTTTAGCCATTCTAATAGGTCTGTAGTGATATCTTATTGTGGTTTTGATCTGAATTTCTTTAATAATTAATGATGTTGAACATCTTTTCATATGCTTATTTGTTATTTATATATCTTCTTTAGTGAAATGTCTATTCAAATATGTTGCACATTTTTAAATGTTTTTATTTTCTTATTGATTCTTAAACATTCTGTACACATTATGTATTCAAGTACTTTACCAGGTAAGTGCTTTGCAAATATATTCTCCTTGTCTGTGGCTTGTCATTTATCTTCTTGATGGTGCTTTTCAAAGAGCATATATTTTGATGTAGTCCAATTTATCAATAATTTTTATAGATTGTGATTTTGTGGTCTTATCTAAAACACTCTTGCCTGACTCAAGACCATAAGATTATTCCATCATATTGTTCTCTAGAAGTTTTACAGTTTTGAGTTTTACATTTAGGTTTGTGATCTATTTTGAATTAATTCTTCATATGGTGCAAGGTATGGGTCAGAGTTCATATTCTTTTTGCAAATAAACACCAATTCTTCTACACCATTGGTTGAAATACTAAATTTTCCACATAGAATTGGTTGGTATAACATTTTCCAAAATCAGTTGGTCATATATATACATATATACATATATATATGTATGTATATGGGTCTATTTCAGAAACATTGTCTCTCTTCCACTGATATCTATATATCTATATTACATTAATACTATGCTGGATTTGATTTGCAAATATGTTGCCAAGAAACTTTTCGTGGCCAGGTGCAGTGGCTCACGCCTGTAATCCCTGCACTTTGGGAGGCCAAGGTGGGTGGATCACAAGGTCAGGAGATTGAGACCATCCTGGCTAACACGGTGAAAACCCATCTCTACTAAAAATACAAAAAAATTAGCCTGTCTCTTGTAGTCCCAGCTACTTGGGAGGCTGAGGAAGGAGAATGGCGTGAACCCGGGAGGTGGAGCTTGTAATGAGCCTAGATCGCACCACTGCACTCCAGCCTGGGTGACAGAGTGAGACTCCATCTCAAAAAAAAAAAAAGAAATTTTTCGTGTAAGTTGATGACAAATATTAAATTTTACTTTTCTTTTCCTGTAATGTTCTTGCTTGATTTTTGTCTTGGGGTAATACTGGCCTCACAATGTCAGTAGAGAGGTGAGTCCTTCTATTTTCTGGAAGACTTTTACAGAATTGGTAATATTTCTTCCTTCAATGTCTTGTAGAACTCAAAAATAAAGCCACTTAGGCTGGGGGCTTTTGTTATTAGTGTTGGAAGGCTTTTAACTACAAATTCACATTTCAGTGATATAGAACGATTTAGGTTATCAATTTCCTCTTGCATGACTTTAGTAGTTTGTATTTTCTAAGCATTTATCCATTGTATCTGAGTCATTAAATTTATGGACATAAAACTGTAACATTATCTCATTGTCCTTTTAATGATGGTATGATTAGTACTGATGATCCATCTTTTATTCCTAATACTGATAATTTGTATCCTGTCTCTGTCTCTCTCTTTCAGTCTGGCTAGAGTTTTATCTTCCCCCACCCCCCCCCGCCCCACAAAAAACAGCTTTGGGGCTTATCGATTTACTCTGTTGTTTTCAGTAATCATTTCTACTGTCACCTTGTCTTGGTCCATTCAGGCTGTTAACAAAATACCTTAGACTGGGTAATTTATGAACAATAGAAATTTTTTTTTCACAGTTCTTAAGGCTGGGAAGTCCAAGATCAAGGTGTCAAGGTGAGACTAACAAACTTGTCCCTCATTCTGAAGTAGAATTTTTTTCTTTTACATTTACCCCAACACAGTCTGTCTTCACCTTTGGCCTGGGAAAAGCAGCTTTCTGCCCTTCCTTCATTGTCTTAAAGCTTTTCCTCAGGGAAGACTTTGGAGCCCTATGCCTGTCCTGATTTCCCTGATCCAGGGCTGCCTTTCTGCACAAAGCTTTGTTTACTCTCCTGCTGTGCCTCAATGTTTTTCAAAAGCACCAAGTGAGGTCCATAAATAAGAAAGTGATGGGAGGAAGGTGAACTCTCCTTGTGTTTATGCTTGTGGCTTTTAGGTTTTAAATACTTTCATCTAGCCCATATTTATTTTTAAGGCATTAACGGAATTTTTTTTTCTTTCTTTCTGGTATTGAAACCATTTTTTCTCCTGCTTCTCTAGTAAGCCAAGAATTACATCTGGTCTTTACTTGGAGGTACCCATCTTTCCTGAGGTTGCATGCTAGTTTTCACAGGTAAGCTACAGCTCTTTGATGAGTATGAGAAAAGTTGTAATTCTGAAGGTGTTCTGATCTTTTTCTTATTGTTAGGGTCAGAGTAACATTTTTCTAGCTTTGTAGATCTTAATAGAAGACACAATTCTTCATACTTCATTTACATAATTGCTAATCCAGGTTATATATTAGAAGAAAGTAAATTAATTTTTCTGGAAAAAGATTCTGAAGTCTTTAGCTTGATAATGGAGTACAGTTGGAATTGTTATTGCCCTTAGATCAAGTTGTCAGAACTATTGAGAGTTAAATGATCCAGAAATTCTGTTTTTCAAATAAATGCATTTATAACAAATATCTCTGAAATATAAAGAAATTCTTATAACTATTCTTCTGTAAGTGTAAACCTTTCTCTAGTCCGTGAAATTATTCATGTGCATTCATATTGTGTCCGGAATTGGTGGGTTCTTGGTCTCACGGACTTCAAGAATGAAGCTGCAGACCCTCGTGGTGACTGCTACAGTTCTTAAAGATGGTCTGTCCAGAGTTTGCTCCTTCTGATATTTGGACGTGTTCAGAGTTTCTTCCTTCTCTCCCGGTGGGTTCATGGTCTCACTGGCTTCAGGAGTGAAGCTGCAGACCTTCATGTTGAGTGTTACAGCTCTTATGGTGGCGTGTCTGGAGTTGTTCGTTCCTCCCATCCAGAGTTGTTCGTTCCTCCCGGTGGGTTCATAGTCTTGCTGGCCTCAGGAGTGAAGCTGCAGACCTTCGGGGTGAGTGTTACAGCTTTTAAGGGCAGTGCAGACCCAAAGAGTGAGCAGCAGCAAGATTTATTGCAAAGAGTGAAAGAGCAGTGCTTCCACAGTGTGAAAGGGGACCTGAGCAGGTTGCCACTGCTGACTCAGAAAGCCTGCTTTTATTCTTTTATCTGACCCCACCCACATCCTGCTGATTGGTCCATTTTACAGAGGGCTGATTGGTCCGTTTTACAGAGAGCTGATTGGTCCGTTTTACAGAGAGCTAATTGATCCATTTTGACTGAGTGCTGATTGGTGCGTTTACAAACCTTGAGGTAGACACAGAATGCTCATTGGTGTGTTTACAATCCCTGAGCTAGACACAGAGTGCTGATTGGTGCATTTATAATCCTAGCTAGACATAAAAGTTCTCCAAGTCCCCACCAGATTAGCTAGACACTGAGCACTGATTGGTGCATTTACAAAACTTTAGCTAGACACAGAGTGCTGATTGGTGCATTTACAATCCTCTAGCTAGACATAAAAGTTCTCCAAGTCCCCACTAGATTAGCTAGACACAGAGCACTGATTGGTGCATTTACAAACCTTGAGCTAGACACAGGGTGCTGATTGGTGCATTTACAAACCTTTAACTAGACATAAAAGTTCTCCAAGACCCCACCTGACTCAGGAGCCCAGCTGGCTTCTCCTAGTAGATCCCACACCAGGGCTGCGGGCACAGCTGCCCACCAGTCCCACACCACATGCCTGCACTCCTCAGCCCTTGGGTGGTCAATGGTACTGGGTGCCGCGGAGCAGGGTGCGGCGCCCGTTGGGGAGGCTCGGGCTGCGCGGGAGCCCACCACGGTGGGGGCGGGGGGGGACTTTGGCATGGCAGGCTGCAGGTCCCAAGTCCTGCCTTGCTGGGAGGTGGCTGAGGCCCAGTGAGAATTCAAGTGTGGTGCAGGCGGGCTGGCAGTGCTGGGGGACCTGGTTCCCCTTCTGCAGCTGCTGGCCCAGGTGCTAAGCCCCTCATTGCTCAGGGCTGGCAGCGCCAGCTGGCCACTCTGAGTGCGGGGCCACTGAGTCTGCACCCACCTGGAACTCACACTGGAGCGCCAGGCACTGCCCTGGTTCCTGCCCGCGCTTCTCTCTCCACATCTTCCCACAAGGAGAGGGAGCCGGCTCCAGCCTCGGCCAGCCCAGAGAGGGGCTCCCACAGTGCAGTGGCAGGCTGAAGGGCTCCTCAAGCGTGGCCAGAGTGGACACAGAGGCCAAGGAGGCTCTGAGAGTGAGTGAGCGTTGCTAGCATGTTGTCATCTCTCAATATGAAGATGAAGATTATAGAAAATGGATTTGGATTTTGATATGGTTTGGCTGTGTGCCCACCCAAATTTCATCTTGAATTGTAGCTCCCATAATTCCCATGTGTTGTGAAAGGGACACAGTGGGGGATAGTTAAATCATGGGGGTGGTTTCCCCCATACTGTTCTCATGGTAGTGAATAAGTCTCATGAGATCTGATCGTTTTTTATGGGGAGACACCTTTTGCTTGGTTCTCATTCTCTCTTGTCTGCCACCATGTAAGATATGCCTTTCACCTTCCACCATGATTGTGAGGCCTCCCCAGTCACATGGAACTGTGATTCCATTAAACCTCTTTTTCTTTATAAATTACCCAGTCTCAGGTATGTCTTTATCAGCAGTGTGAAAACAGACTAATACAGACTTCCTTTAAAACCCCTTTATTCTCAGGTCTAAACTCTGCATGCCTGATCGCTATTTGTGTTGCCTGCTGGGGTGTTTCCTGTTTTTTTGTTTGTTTGTTTCATTTTCTTCCCACTTGCCTTTATTTGGTAATGTTTCTAATCTAGGAAAAAACTTTGCTTTCTCAATACATTATTAGCATAAAACTTGGTCCTTTATGTGCCTCTTGAGTCTCGCCTTTGGCATTGATTTTCTGCCCTCTTTTTGTCTCTCGTTATTTGAATGCAGTCACATACTCCAACTTTTTTATTTGTCCAAATGATCTTTGAAAATATGTCTTAATAATTTTACATGTAGATGTTACTTGAAGTGTACATCCAATGCTTTGGTAAAGAAGAATGTTATGCTTTTAAGAAGCATTATAAAGACATTATACTGCTATGCATTTGATGTTAACATTGTGTCCCTTGACAAGCTTATACAACCAAGGCAGAGCCCTAAGCAATATTGAGGAAGGAAAAAGTCTTTGTTTTGTCTCCATCTTTAAAAATGAAGGTCCTATTGGCTTCATATTATCTAGATATGATAGATATGCTAGATATGAGCTAGATATGCTAGATATGAGGCTAGCATAGATATGCTAGATATGAGGTTCATACCTCAGTGGTACAATTCATAATTAAAAATAATGAAGACTTCTGCCATTATTTACAATCCCCCTATGTGTCACCCTTTTCTCCACTCTCTCAAGCTACTCTAGAAAACTACTTTCTCCTATTTGGTCTAATGCAACTGGAAACATAACTAATTAGAAGTACATCACTAATTGAATGCTATAAATTAACTATGACACTGAGGACATCACTATTGCAGATGAAGTTTTATGGCCATTATCATTTTAAGCACAGTTTTGAATTCACAAATTTCTTTCTATTACTGTAGTTGATTTTGTCTTTTCAAGAAATTTATATACATAGAGTTATATGGTACATACTCTTTTGGCTATTTTTTTTCACTCAGAATAATGTTTTTGATCATTGTTCCAAAACTCTGCAGGGACACTGTGGAGAAATTCACAAGGACACCACATATTTTAGATTTTTGAGGGAAACATAGTCATTTCTGCCAAATGCTATGTGGACTCATAGCTTAAAGCAATATACAATTTCAGCATTAAATTGTGCTCCATTCCTTTTGATAACATGAAATCTTTGTGAAGCTGCATTTTCAGTAATTACTTCAATAAAAAGTAAGCAATACACAAAAATTAATGTGAAACAGAAAAGGATGGTGGTGGTAGTGTCCAATCTAATTCCTGTGTAGACAGTTATATGGTGCTCAATTGATACACAAATCCAAATGGAAATAAATGCTGTTTTTAAAAAATAAAATAAAAATTCTATTAAATATAAATATGTAATATCATTTTTCTTTCTATTAATATATATTACTTTTAAACAGCTACTGAATTGTTAATACGTAAATAATTATAAATTGTTTGGATTTAAATGCTTAATCAAATTAGGTAGCTTAATGTATTTCTTTTGGTCTAAGGCCTATAACAATATGACAAACACTACAGACTCTATGAACCAAGAAAGTTTGGGAAGCTTTGGTTTTTAAGATTCCTCCGTAATAACAGAAAACCAAACATTGCATGTGCTGATTCATAAGTGAGAGTTGAGCAATGAGAATGCATGAACACAGGGAGGGGAACATCACACACCGGGGCCTGTCAGGGGGTGGGGGGCAAGAAGAGGGAAAGGCTTAGGACAACTACCTAATGCATGCAGGGCTTAAAACTTAGATGACAGGTTGACAGGTGCAGCAAACCACCGTGGCACATGTATACCTATGTAACAAACCTGCATGTTCTGCACATGTATCCCAGAACTTAAAGTTAAAAAAAAAAAAGATTCCCCCATAATATTGTATCAGCAGTCCATTCCTTTTTATTGCTGAGTAATACTTCATTCCATAGTTTGGTTATACTGCAATTTGTTTGTCTAATCATCTTTGAGGTACAATTGGCATGTATAAAGTTTTTGGTTATTATGGATTAAGATGTTAGAAACATTCATGTTCAAGGCTTTGTGTGGACATGTTTTTATTTCTCTTGTGTTAACTCCTAAGGGTAGAATTCTTGGATCATAAGTGACGTGTCTGCTTATCTTTATAAAAAATAGCCAATGAGTTTCCATCTCTTTTTGTTTATTTTTCTTCTGAAGAACTTTAAGTGCAGTTTGGCTGGTGATATGGTTAGGTTTTGTGTACCCACCCAAATCTCATCTTGAATTGCCATCCCCAGGTCTTGAGAGAGAGAGACTTAGTGGGAGGTGATTGGATCATGGGGGCAGTTTTCCCCATGGTGCTCTCGTAATAGTGAGGGAGTTTATATTAACCTGTTCTCACACTGCTAATAAAGACATTCCCAAGATGGGGTAATTTATAAATAAAAAGAGGTTTAATGGGCTCAGAGTTCCATGTGGCTGGGGAGGCCTCACAATCATGGCAGAAGGCAAAGGAGGAGCAAAGTTGCATCTTATACGGCCACAGGGAAAGAGAGCTTGTGCAGGGAACTCCCATTTATAAAACCATCAGATCACATGAGACTTATTCACTATCAGTGGAACAGTATGGGGGAAACAACCCCCATGATTCAATTATCTCCACCTGACTCTGCCCTTGACACATGGGGATTATTACAATTCAAACTGAGATTTGGGTGGGGACACAGCCAAACCATATCAGAGTTCTCACAAGATCTGATGGTTTTATAAATGGCAGTTTCCCCTGACCAATACATACACTTCTCTCTCCTGCTGCCATGTGAAGAAGGTCCTTGCTTCCCCTTCACCTTTCACCACAATTGTAAGCTTCATGAGGCCTCCAGAGCCATGTGGAACTGTGAGTCAATTAAACCTTTTTCCTTTATAAATTAACGAGTCTTAGGTAATATCTTTATTGCAGTATGAAAATAGACTAATATAGCTGGCAACAAATTATTTCAGCTTATTTATGTCTCAAATATATTCTCGGCTTTGATTTATAAAGGATTTATTCACTGAATATAAAATTCCATTTGTTTTTTCTTTAAGTATTTTAAATATGTCATTTCATTGTCTTTTGACTTGTATTATTTCTAATGAGAAATCTTCAGATTTTCTAGTCTTTGGTTTTTGTATGTCATGTGACATTCCTGTATTTAAGATTTTCTTGCTAACATTTGTTTCAGCAATATGATTTTTATGTATCTTGGTGTGAATTTCTTTGTTTTTCTCTTGCTTCAGTTTTGTTGAGGATATTTATCTGTGGGTTTATAATTTTGGTTAATTTTTAAAACTTAGTCATTAGTTGTTCAAATATTTAATTGCCCTTCATCCTTTTTGGGCTTCAATTACATGTATATTATACTGTTGAACTCACTATGATTCTGCTCATATCTTTTAAGCCTTTTTTCTTACTATATTTCAGTTTGAAAATTTTACTTTTGTTATGATTACAAGCTCATGACCATTTCTTCTACACTGTGTAATCTGCTGATATGCAGACCCAGTTAATGTTTTATTTCAAATATTTCTTTTTATTTTATTTTATCTATTTTTACCTCGTTATGTTCATAATTTTTAAAAAAATAATTTAACATATTTATAATAGCTATTTTAAGGTTTTTCCTGCTAATTCCTTCATCACTGTCATTTCTGGACCTGTTTCTATTGACTGATATTCCTGATATGGGACACAGTTTTATGTTTCTTTGCATGTTTAGTAATATTTAATTAATGCTGAACATTTTTTACATGTTGGAATTTTTGTCTTCCTTTAAAGAGTGTTCAACTTCTTCTGGTAATAAGCCAAATATGAATCAACTTTTTTCTTTAAGCCTTATTTTTCACTTTTATTATCCGTTATTTAATCTTTTATTATCTGTGGTCTCCACTGAATGATCTGGGTTTTCAGTGAGAAGTCTCCACTTTGGTTGGTTAGAATGAACTGTGAGAACTCAGGGAATTATTCAGATGAAAATGCCCCATCATTATTTACCTTGCATCCTAGATTTTCACCCTAGGTAAGCATGGATTAGTATTCAGCATCTGACTCCATGTGTATTTCTGAAACCCTCTTTGTATCTCTCTCCTCTTCAATACTCAGCTGTACAAATTCCTGCCATCTGAGCCTGCCTGAATCTTCTCTTTTCCTACCTAATGCAGTGTGCCTGCCGTGTCCTGCTTGGGTTCCCCGTCTGTGCACCACAACTTGAAAAGTTTCTTCAGACAGAATTATGTGGCAATCATTGCTCCTATAGCTTTTGTCTTCTTCTTTCAAGAAATCCATGTTCTACTCTGCTTCTCATTCAATTTGTACAGACAATTTGTGCTATTTATATTCATCAGGTTTCTAATGGTTTATGGTGCAAGAACAAGTACTATATCAGTTATTCTATCATGGTTGGAAGTAAAAATCTCCACTCCCTTTCACATTTTTATAGAGAGTGTCAGCATCACCAGCTTTTTGGGGCTTAAATTTGTATTGTCATAGCCCTATAAAGCCATATCGGGAGAGAACTGACCGAGTGAACAGGGTCACAGAAAAAAAGTGGTATGAGTGTTGGGTGTAAGAAGACATAAGATTTAGGGAAGTGGCCAAGGTACCCTGTTGCTTTTAGGCTGAACCTTTGTAAACCATTAAAGCAGTGTAAACCATTATGCCATTAAAGCAGACAGTGAAAGGAGAAGTATAAATGGATTCTCATTCACACTATTCCCTAAAGTATTAATGCTCTGTAAAACTGAGGCTAAAAGCAAAAATTGAAGAAAACATATTAAAATATGTTTCACAGGAAACAAATCTAAATTTAGGAATAAAGTCATTTGTGGGTAGCTATTTGTGTCCTTACATAAATTTATTGTTCATTATAAGTATATTCACTTAATGGGAATAGCCTAATTATCAAGAGTGTATAACTATTAGAAGGCTAAAGAAAAGTAAAATGGCTTTTGTTATAATTTGATACATAATAAAAATTAAAATTAATTGGTTTGAATATAAAATTTTGTAGAAAAACTTTCTAATTGGTTATCTTTTTCAATGCATTCACTGCAATTTTAACTCAGAGATAATAAATTAAGCAATGAGACACTTTTACAGTTGCTCACTAAACAGAAGTTGCCCAGGGGGAAAATGATTTGATTAACTATTCAGAAGTGTGTGTCGGATCAGGATCCAAACATGACCATAGGTCAACAGCGCAGGCTGTAGAAGGCTGTGAATCTCAATACACAGGTTCTTCTGGAGTATATTAAGTGAAGACAACATTTAACATAATGCTGGCTTACGGCGAAGCACCAGCCTGAGCTCTCTGAGAAAAAATGCAGAAGGTAGTCCTTACTCAGCCAAAAAGACAGCAAATAACTGTCTTGACATTAGAACTCCTCCAGGTCCCATCACGGTTTCATTTGTTTGAGTTCTGAATATCAACTGCATTAACACTGAGCAAAGTCCTTCCTTATAAGACCTCTCTTCCAGAAATCACAAAACACATTTTATTCCTAAATGTATTCTCATTAGAATCATTAGCAATGATTGTATTAAATATAAAAATGAAGAGTTTCCCATATTTATATTTTGATATAAGTATTTCTGGATCCATATCTGGGATAAGCCTATATTTAAGTCTAATTTGGGGTCACTTTTAGGGAAAAATGGTCAGTTTTTTTTTTTAAGTAGGTTGTCTGTGTTTCTTTTACATCTTCCCCCTTCTCACTTGGTAAATGTCTTCATGCTGTTTTATCTCCTGCCAGCACCTGATCTAATGTATCATTGTTCATAGACCATAACTGGAAAAATCCGCTTACTCCTTTCTTTTCCTCTAGTGAAATGTGCCCATTTGTACCTGCAGGCCTGAGATGGGTTAAGCCCCATTGTTGGCTTTTTTCCCACTTGGAAATTTGTAGCCCAATTACTTCAGAAAACTTTATAATATAAATCATTTGGCTTTAAAGTCAGGCCAATTTAGGTTTGAATCCTGGTTCTGAATCTTATTTGCCTTTTGCCCTGGGAAAATTTACTTAACCTCTTTAAAAAGCAGTTTCCTTATATAAAACAGGTATATTAATAACAGTTATGCCTCACTGGGCAATTGGGAACTTAATTTATAAAATACATGGATGACTTATTCTAGGGACTCAATAAAGGATAGTTTCTTTTATTCCTACCTTTTATTTCTTCTTTTTGGTCTTAATTTCCTAGCATCCACCCTGCCTTGTTTTTCAGTGTCTAGGTCAATCGATTGTTATTTGATCCATTGATATTCTTTTGCCATATGATTCTTGAGGAGCACTCTGACTTTAGCCAGTCAATATCCAGTATCACCTTGCAGGTTCCCAGGGGTGCTGGCCAATGTCTATGTCTGCTGATTCCTCTGCTTTCACCATCCCATCTTTGTATTCTGAAGCCCACTTTCCTTTCCCGCCTCTGCCCTCCACAATTATTTTCTTCATTTTGAGGGACTTGGAAAAAAATGTTAAGGACATTTTCTCTCTTGGGGGTTATTTATTATTTTTGTTTTATTTTTTCCCCAAAGGTAAGAAATAAGAACGCCACCAAAAATCAACCTCAGGAAGAATAAATTGTTTTGATGAAGATAGCTTGCCCATGACCCAGAAATCATGCCGTCGAGGCTATGTCTGTGCCGCTTCCTCCCAAAGTGGCCTTTTCACTAGGAAACAAATCATGGAATCCAGCAACCACTTCCAACACAGTGCTCAGGAGAGTTTAAGCTTTGGAATAAGGGAGAGCCTCCTGATGTGAAAAAACAAGGAGATGTGGAAAGGGAGCAGCAAAGACACATCTTTACTAGACCTCATATATATTTTCCAAAAAAATATGTAATCCAAAATGTCTTCCTATAATGCTTTCTTACCTGGACTTTAACTTTCATAGTAGCATGTAGTAATCAACTTTTACTTAAGTTGGAGAACAATACTCCCAGTCTGCTCAAAACATGTCTGAGAATCAATTCATTCCCACCCATCTATCTTTCAGTCTTAGAGTTGCTGTACTTGTTCTTAACATTTCCTTTCCTTTAATTTCTGGAGATACTACATTCTCTTGTCTCTGCTGCCCTTTCTAACAGGCAGTTGCCACCACAAAGCATTTTACCTACTGATGTTTTTTTTTTTTTTTTTTTTTTTTTTTGAGACGGAGTCTCGCTGTCGCCCAGGCTGGAGTGCAGTGGCGCAATCTCGGCTCACTGCAGGCTCCGCCCCCTGGGGTTCACGCCATTCTCCTGCCTCAGCCTCCCGAGTAGCTGGGACTACAGGCGCCCGCCACCTCGCCCGGCTAATTTTTTTTGTATTTTTAGTAGAGACGGGGTTTCACCGTGTTAGCCAGGATGGTCTCGATCTCCTGACCTCGTGATCCGCCCGCCTCGGCCTCCCAAAGTGCTGGGATTACAGGCGTGAGCCACCGCGCCCGGCCCTGATGTTTTTTAAGAGAAGGTAATTTAATCAGCATGTGTAATTTTCTGCTCCCTTACAATCCATTGCCTCTGATGCCATCTTCTAAGAACACCTTTCTCCCTATTTAGTTCAATTTCTTCAGAGCTGTGGGGAAACTCTATTATGCTAATGATGAATCAGATAAGTGGTTTGCTTAAATTAAATTAGCAAATAATTACATCCAATTACTCTGCAACCATTCTGAACTTAACAAGAAAAATCATTATCAGCACAGAAGAGATAAGGTTTGCTCTTGCCCTTCTTGGGAGAATACCTCATCTGTACCAAAATTTCCCATCAAAAGGATTAATGGTTGACCAGTTAATGTTAACTTCCCTAAATTGAAAACTGGAATAATAAGAGAGCTAGTGACTAAGCCTGTCTCTCAATTAGAAGGCTATAAAGTTATAGTCCTAGCTGGGCAGCTTTAACTATGAGAATGATGTCCTAAAATAGCTACTCTGTCACATTTATTTGTAAAAGCCAAGCTTTGTCATTATTTTTAAAGATATCATTACACATTCTGAATATTATTTTTAAATTGCCAGTGAATATATTGCACAGATTATACAACATAATGTTGGTCTTCCAATAAGAATGCTAGGCAACAATCTCACACTAATTCATTTACAAACATTTGGTGATCATTAATTGCATGCCAGACCCATAGCACAGCCACTATGGGTTAAGGATACCACAATGAATAAGTTGTGGTTTTTGGCTCAGGCATGTCAGGTCAAGAAGAAGAGACAGATCTGTAAGCAAATAGGAAACAATGATATCAAGCTTATAAAATGGTCACACAAACACACCCTGTTATGGGAGCCCAGAGGATGATGTGCTTCATTCTGACCTGTGTGACACAAAAGGAAGAAGTGGGGACATTTAAGGGGAGACCCAATGGCACTAAGGTGGGAGGCACGGCAGGAAAAGGCAATTCAGGAGAAGGGGAGAATTACCAGAAAAGGCCTAGTGTTGTGAAAATTGTAATGTGATGGTGTTTTGAAGGAACAGTCTTATTGTTATGTGAAAGGACAGGTGGAGTAGTGAGGAAGTGAGGAACATGAAGTAGTTAATCAAAGATGCTTCTAAGCAGTCAGTTTTGGTGCCTGAGTGTGAAATTCATGATAAAGAAATTATTGATTGCCATTAAATTTCAGAAAAAGACTACATAATATCACTCAGAATGTTTAACCAAGGAATCAATGACATTTATGAAACGAGAGCTAAAATAACTCTTTTATCTACTGAAGCATACATAAATCAGTTGCTTTTGATTCTACGTGATGTTTCCTTACATAATTCCTGACACAATTCCTGACATAGTTGGAAACAACTATGTCATCATTTATTTCTTTCAAATGATATCTCATGGAAATTGTTTCTGGGCATTCAAACATTCTCCTATCCCCATACTCAGAGCTGAATTGACTTGGAAGAATGAATAAAAGCAACCTAACTAAGGTGTAATTTATGTAAGTGCTATCTTCACAAGCATATTTATGGACAATACTAATTTCTCAATGCCATTATCTTACACTGTTAGGCTATTTACTATTTTCAGCTAAATACATCAAAGCCTTGGGTTTTCCATCATCAGTCTTAATAGTTTTCAATTAAGTCTTAAGAAGAAAATTGTATCCACAGATATTGATTCTGAAGCCAGGAATCTGTCTGTGCCTATGTGTTTTCCCTTATCACCTCCCTTTCCTTTTGAGCCACGACTTTTCACACCAAGTTCTGACAGTTCTGTCTTCTCAGTATCCGTCCATTTCTCTCCATCTTCACTTCTATTCCCTTAGCTCAGATCACCAGCATCCATCACTGAGTAACTATAGCAATATTCTAAGTGATCTCTTTGCCTCTAGTCTTGTCCTTTCAGTCCATTTCCTACACTGTCATCAAGTTTCATGTGAAAATCTAATTTTGTCATTCTACTGCTATTCTCCTTGGTGTCTACCCATAGAAGAGAGTCTAAACTCATCATAACATTGCCATAGTTCACTGTCTGTGTTCGGCTTTTCTCTCTAGACTCATCTGTCACAGCTAACTCTCTGTAGCCATTCCCTCTCACTCCACATTTTTACAGTGCTAGAATACATATAGCTCCCCTTACTCCTGCCAACATAGAGTAACATCTGAAACCGTAAAGTCTTCCCACAGATTTCCTTGCTTAGCTTCCAATTATCCTTTAGGAATGCGTTTCATAGTTAAATTTTCATGGAAACTTTCCTTTACCACCCAAGAATGAGTAAATTAATTCTCCAATGCAGTCCTATAGCAACCTATGGCACTTAGCTCCTTGGATATGCCATTCTCACTGGATTCTGAATTTCTGAGAACTGAGGCTACATTTTATTCATAAAAGTATATAAAGCTTAGAGTTAAAGTTAGAGTTAGGCAAACAAATCCAGTTTGTTGGCAAAGGGTGGTTTATTGGAGGAACTTACAGACGTGGTTCTTGGGGCGTGGTCTTGGGTGGCCACAAGATAGCTAGAGCTCTACACTATTACTCCCCAGACCCAGAAGAAATCATCTGCTTCAGTTCACGTTTCAACTGATGCAGGCCGTCATGGAACTACAGAGGAAAAGTGTATGTACCAGTATCTATGTGCTCTATAGAGACAATTAAAGGCAACCTTCCAGAACAGGCAAGAATGCTGTGTGCGTCATCGCCTATAATTTGTGCAATAACATCAAGGTTGACATGTTCTCACACTAAGGACAGTAAATAAAATAAGAATTGGAAGGCATTCATGGGACTGGGGCTAATCAGATGTCAACGTGGCAGATTATCATCCAAGATGGAATCATCTTTGTCTCCACAAACAGGAATTTCTCACAGTTTTGGAGGCTGGAAATGTGAGATCAAAGTGCCAGCAGGGTTGGTATCTCAGTCCTCTCTTTTCGGCTTGCAGATGGCAGCCTTCTTGCTGTGTTGTCACATGACCTTATCTCTGAGCATACACACACCCCTGGTCTATCTGTCTCTTCTTAGAAGGTCAACATTGATATTGGGTTTGAGCTTCACCCTTATGACTTTATTTAACTTTAATTATCTTTTAAAAGGCCCTATCTACAAATGTAATTACATTCTAAGGCACTGGGGCTCAAGTCTCCAACATATGAATTTGGTACAGAAGGCACAATTCAACCCAAAACAGTGGTATGAAATGAAATGAGAAAACATAGGCTATAAAATCTCATTTCCAGAAAATCTTGAAGATAAGATACCTTAAGTATAAAAACTAAATAATAAGAAGTAAATACATAATTTCACCTATGAGGAATATTATACTTTCTCCAGTGCAGATGGAGGAAAAATCAGAATGTCTTGGGCATTTCCCCACACCTAAGAGGACATTCTAGCCCGGCTTGAACTATTAGATAAGATTAGATCATATTAGGTAGCTTTCCTTCTTAAACATCACTTTCATTTTCTCCATATTGAGTATAATTATTATTACACACAAACAGAATCTTTAGATATTTCTAAGCTTTGTGTATCTACAAATCAACTATTTTTTCCATATTGGATTTTAAAAGTTTAAAAATCAATATTATCTAGAATCTCTATGTAGCTTTTGCATTGCATTCTATCACATACATGGACTCAGGCCTAAGGTACTCATGAATCTCAACTTCCTGAGCTATTTGAGTGAGGTTGGAATCAAGGCCAAGTAAGGATGGAAGAACAGTACTGATAATATCCATGGCCAAAGCTAGTTGGTGATTTTGAGCACCAGTATCTGAAAAGATCCAGTCTGCTGGGAGGGTTGTGGCCTTGTGGCCAGAGGTAATTAGCATGAGGCAGTCAGTAGCAACACAGATCTGCATTTCCTCACTGTAGAACTCTAGCTCGCATCACTGATACAGGAAATGAGATCCACATCCCTAAGAGAGGGCTGCTAAGTTCCAGGAGTAGCATAGTATTCTACCTTGATGAGCTGGTTCTCCTGAAGGTCCCACATCACAGAAAGTATGTGGAATGTGCTGGCAGGGACCAACTATTATAGGGGAGATTTTAAAGAAACACTGAGATTTCCTAGGCCTAGAGAAATGTCAATAATTCCAGATCTGACTCCTTGAGAGACCTAAGATGCTATCATGAGTTAAATTGTTTCCTCTCCAAAAAAGAGACACATTGGAGTCCTTACCCCCAGTATCTCAGAGTGTAACCTTATTTGGAGACAGGGACTTTACAGAGCTATCAACTGAAACAAAATCACTGGGCATACCCTAATTTAGTATGACTGGTGTCCTTATAAAATGGAAAATTTGGACACAAAGACAGAAATGTACAGAGGGAAGATGATGTGAGGACACGCACACACAGAACATGACTATCCACAGGCCAAGGAGAGAAGGCTGGGAGAGATCTTCTCCTCACGGCCCTCAGAAGGAACCAGCTATGAAGGCACTTTGATTTCAAACTTCCAGCCTCCAAAATCATGAGAAATAAATTTCTGTTTCTTAAGCTATACAGCCTATGATATTTTGTTATGGCAGCCCTCATAAACTAACACAGATAGGGAAAAAGTTTCTCACCTTGAAAAGTTCATCTTATATTTGCATATCATGTATTATAAAGAAAACACTTACCTGCCGAATCTCATTTTGAGACACTGTATACATTTATTTAAACACATGATTATTTTGATGATCAATGATCATTTATCAGGCTGTGTATGTTTGCTTTACTCAGTGTAATTTGATAATCAACATCCTCCATTTTTTTATTTATCTTTATCCTGCTTTTTCTCTTCATGGCAGTTATCAGCATTCAACTTAGGCTTATAGTTTGCTTTCTCTTCACTGGAATACAAGCTTCTTGAGAACAGGATAATTGTTTTCTTTCCTATCTAATATGTAGAACAGGAACGAGCACTCAATATATGTTAAATGAATAAGTATATTTAAGATTGAACCACTAGTCTCAGAATGTTGGTCCTTTACTATTAAGTCAGAATCATACCAAAGCTCATCAATATACTGCAACTTTCTTTTAGTGTTGCTACAGATATGAAGAGGCTGATTGTAAAGGCAATAAACAAAAATAGTCAGAATTCTCTTGAAAAGAACATAATACTTACAATAACAATAATGACAAATCTAAGTCACAGCAAGGATTTTTAATTGCTCATGTTTTAATTTTTGGTAATAGAATTTGCAAGCATTGCCATCCCCTCAGATATTCTTCCTTCACTCTAACAATAAGTATGTTTGTGTTAATTATTATTCAATGTCTACATTGTTTTTTAAATTTTTAAAAAAAATTTACATTAAGTTCTGGGATACATGTGCTGAACATGCTAGTTTGTTACATAGGTATACATGTGGCATGGTGGTTTGCTGCATCTATCAAGCCATCATCCAGGTTTTAAGTCCCGCATGCTCTAGGTATTCATCCTAATGCTATCCCTCCCCTTACCCTACAACCCCCAACTGGCTCCAGTATGTGATGTTCCCCTCCCTGTGTCCAGGTGTTCTCATTGTTCAGCTCCCACTATGAGGGAGAATATGTGGTGTTTGGTTTTCTGTTCCTGTGATAGTTTGTGGAGAATGATGGTTTCCTGCTTCATCCATATCCTGTCAAAGGACATGAACTCATTCTTTTTTATGGCTGCATAGTATTCCATGGTGTATATATGCCACATTTTCTTCATTCAGTCAATCATTCATGGGCATTTGGGTTGGTTCCAAGTCTTTGCTATTGTAAATAGTGCTGCAATAAACATACGTATGCATGTGTCTTTATAGTAGAATGATTTATAATGTTTTGCGTATATGCTCAGTAATTGGATTGCTGGGTTAAATGGTATTTCTGGTTCTAGATCCTTGAGGAATCACCACACTGTCTTACATAATGGTTGAACTAATTTACACTCCCACCAACAGTGTAAAACTGTTCCTATTTCTTCACATCCTCTCCAGCATCTGCTGTTTCCAGACTTTTTAATGATTGTCATTCTAACTGGTGTGAGATGGTATCTCATTGTGGTTATGATTCGCATTCCTCTAATGACCAGTGGTTATGTGCTTTTTTTCATGTTTGTTAGCCACATAAACGTCTTCTTTTGAGAAGCTCCTGTTCATATCCTTTGCCCAGTTTTTGATGGGGCAGTTTGTTTTTTTCTCATAAATTTGTTTAAGTTCCTTGTAGATTCTGGATATCACCCTTTTGTCAGATGGATAAATTGCAAACATTTTCTCCCATTCTGTAGGTTGGCTGTTCACTCTGATGATAGTTTCTTTTGCTGAGCAGAAGCTCTTTAGTCTAATTAGATCCCATTTGTCAATTTCGGCTTTTGTTGCAATTGCTTTTGGTATTTTAGCCATGAAGTCTTTGCCCATGCCTATGTCTTGAATGGTATTGCCTAGGTTTTCTTCTAGGGCTTTTATGGTTTTATGTTTTATGTTTAAGTCTTTAATCCATCTTGAGTTAATTTTTGTATAAGGTGTAAGGAACAGGTCCAGTTTCTGTTTTCCGCATATGGCTAGTCAGTTTTCCCAGAGTCATTTATTAAACAGGGAATCCTTTTTCCATTGCTTTTGTCAGGTTTGTCAAAGAGCAGATGGTTGTAGATATGTGATGTTATTTCTGAGGGCTCTGTTCTGATTCATTGGTCTATATATTTGTTTTGGTACCAGTACCATGCTGTTTTGGTTACTGTAGCCTTGTAGTATAGTTTGAAATCAGGTAGCATGCTGCCTCTAGTTTTGTTCTTTTTGCTTAGGATTGTCTTGACTATACAGGCTCTTTTTTGGTTCCATATGAAACTTAAAGTAGTTTTTTTTTCTAATTCTATGAAGAAAGTCAATGGTAACTTGATGGGAATAGCATTGAATATGTAAATTACTTTGGGCAATATGGCCATTTTCATGATGTTGATTCTTCCTATCCATGAGCATGTAATGTTTTTCCATTTGTTTGTGTCCTCTCTTATTTCCTTCAGCAGTGGTTTGTAGTTCCCCTTGAAGAATTCCTTTACATCCCTTGTAAGTTGTATTCCTAGGTATTTTATTTTCTTTGTAGCAATTGCGAATGGGAGTTCACTTGTGATTTGGCTCTCTGCTTGTCTATTATTGGTGTATAGGAATGCTTGTGATTTTGCACATTGATTTTGTATCCTGAGGCTTTGTTGAAGTTGTTTACCAGTATAAGGAGTTTTGGGGCTGAGACGATGGGGTTTTCTAAATATACAATCATGTCATCTGCAAACAGGGACAATTTGACTTCCTCTCTTTCTATTTTAATACTGTTTATTTCTTTATCTTGCTTGATTGCCCTGACCAGAACTTCCAATACTATGTTGAACAGGAGTGGTTAGAGAGGGCACCCTTGTCTTGTGCCAATTTTCAAAGGGAATGCTTCCAGCTTTTCTCCCTTTTTCAAAGGGAATGCTTCCAATATGATATTGGCTATGGGTTTGCCATAAATAGTTGTCATTGTTCTGAGATATGTTCCATCAACACCTAGTTTGTTGAGAGTTTTTAGCATGAAGTGGTGTTGAATTTTATTGAAGGCCTTTTCTGCATCTATTGAGATAATCATGTGGATTTTGTCATTTGTTCTGTTTATGTGATGGATCACATTTATTGATAGGTGTATGTTGAACCAGACTTGCATCCCAGGGATGAAATCAACTTGATCATTGTGGATATGATTTTTGATGTGCTGCTGGATTTGTTTTGCTGGTATTTTATTGAAGATTTTTGCATCAATGTTCTTCAGGGATATTGGCCTGAAAGTTTCTTTTTTTGCTTATGTGTCTGCCATGTTTTGGTATCAGGATGATGTTGGCTTTATAAGATGAGTTAGGGCGGAGTCCATCTTTTTCTATTGTTTGAAATAGTTTCAGAAGAATGGTATCAAATCCTATATGGACCTCTTGTAGAATTTCACTGTGAATCTGTCTGGTCCTGGGCTTTTTTTACTTGGTAGGCTATTAATTACTGCCTCAATTTCAGAACTTGTTTTGGTCTGTTCAGGGACTCAACTTCTTCCTTGTTTATCTTTGGAGGGTGTATGTGTCCAGGAATTTATTCATTTCTTCTAGAGTTTCTTTGTGTAGAAGTGTTTATGGTATTCTCTGGTGATAGTTTGTATTTCTATGAGATCAGTGTGATATCCTGTTTATCATTTTTTATTGTGTCTATTTGATTCTTCTCTCTTTTCATCTCTCTTTGTTTAGCTAGTGGTCTATCTATTTTGTTAATCTTTAAAAAAAAAAAACAGCTCCTAGATTCATTGTTTTTTTGGAAGGGTTTTTCATGGCTCTATCTCCAGTTCTGCTCTGATGTTAGTTATTTCTTGTCTTCTGCTAGTTTTGAATTTGTTTGCTCTTGTTTCTCTAGTTCTTTTATTTGTGATGTGAGAGTGTCAATTTTAGATCTTTCCCGCTTTCTAATGTGGGCATTTAGTGCTATAAACTTCCCTCCTAACACTGTTTTAGCTGTGTCACAGAGATTCTGGTACATTGTCTCTTTGTTCTCATTTGTTTCAAAGAACTTCATTATTTCTGCCTTTATTTTGAAATTTGCCCAGTAATCCATTCAGGAGCAGGTTGTTCAGTTTCCATGTGGTTGTGTGGTGTTGAGTGAGTTTCTTAATCCTGAGTTCTAATTTGATTGCACTGTGTCAGAGAGACTGTTATGATTTTTGTTCTTTTGCATTTGCTGAGGAGTGTTTTACTTCCAGTTATGTGGTTGATTTTAGAATAAGTCCTATGTGGTACTGAGAAGAATGTATATTTTGTTGATTTGGAGTGGAGAGTTCTGTAGCTGTCTATTAGGTCCACTTGGTCCAGAGCTGAGTTCAAGTCCTCAATATCCTTGTTAATTTTCTGTCTCGTTGTTCTGTTAATATTGGCAGTGGGATGTTAAAATTGCCCATTATTATTGTGTGGGAGTCTAGGTCTTTTTATAGGTCTCTAAGAACTTGCTTTATAAATCTGGATGCTCCTGTATTGGGTGCATATATATTTAGGATCGTTAGCTCTTCTTGTTGCATTGATCCCTTTATCATTATGTAATGCCCTTCTTTGTCTTATTTGATCTTTGTTTGTTTCAAGTCTGTTTTATCAGAGTCTAGGATTGCAACCCCTCCTTTTTTTTTTCTTTCCATTTGCTTGGTAAATATTCCTCCATCCCTTTATTTTGAGTCTATGTGTGTGTTTGCCCATAAGATGAGTCTCCTGAATACAGCACACTGGTGGGTCTTAAATCTTTTTGCCAGTCTGTGTCTTTTAATTAGGGCATTTAGCCCACTTACATTTAAGGTTAATATTGTTATGTGTGAATTTGATCCTGTCATTATGGTGCTAGCTGGTTATTTTGCACATTAATTGATGCAGTTTCTTCATCGTGTGGATGGTCTTTACATTTTGGTATGTTTTTGCAGTGGCTGGTACTGGTTTTTCCTTTCCATATTTAGTGCTTCCTTCAGGAGCTCTTGTAAGGCAGGCCTGGTGGTGACAAAGTCCCTAAACATTTGCTTGTCTATAAAGGATTTTATTTCTCCACTCATGAAGCTTAGTTTGGCTGGATATGAAATTCTGCATTGAAAAGTGTTTTCTTTAAGAATGTTGAATATTGGCCCCCGCTCTCTTCTGGCTTGTAGGGTCTCTGCAGAGAGATCCACTGTTAGTCTGATGGACTTCCTTTTGTGGGTAACCTGACCTTTCTCTCTGGCTGTGCTTACCATTTTTTCCTTCATTTCAACCTTAGTGAAGCTGATGATTATGTGTCTTGGGGTTGCTCTTCTTAAGGAGTATCTTTGTGGTGTTCTCTGTATTTCCTGAATTTGAATGTTGGCCTGTCTTGCTAAATTGGGGAAGTTCTCCTGGATAATATCCCGAATTGTGTTTGCCAACTTGGTTCCATTCACCCCATCACCTTCAGGTACCCCAATCAAATGTAAGTTTGATTTTTTCACATAGTCCTATATTTCTTGTAGGCTTTATTCATTCATTTTCATTTTTTTTTTCTCCTATCTTGTTTTCACACCTTATTTCAGCCTTATTTCAGTAAGTTGACCTTCAATCTCTGATATCCTTTCTTCTGCTTGGTCAATTCGGCTATTGATACTTGTGTATGCTTCACGAAGTTCTTGTGCTGTGTTTTTCAGCTCCATCAGGTCATTTATGTTCTTCTTTAAACTTATTATTCTAGTTAGCAGTTTCTGTAATTTTTTGTCAAGGTTCTTAACTTCTTTGCATTGGTTTAGATCATCCTCCTTTAGCTCAGAGGAGTTTGTAATTACCTACCTTCTGAAGCCTACTTCTGTCAGTTCGTCAAACTCATTCCCTGTCCAGTTTTGTGCATTTGCTAGAGAGGAGTTGCGATCATTTGGAGGAGAAGAGGCATTCTGGTTTCTGGAATTTTCAGCATTTTTGTGCTGTTTTTACTTTTTTTTTTTTTTCCTTATCTTCATGGATTTATCTAACTTGGATTTTTGAGGCTGAAGACCTTTGGATGGGATTTCTGTGTGGGGGTCCTTTTTGTTGATATTGATGTTATCACTTTCTGTTTGTCAGTTTTTCTTCTAACAGTCAGGCCTCTCTTCTGCAGGTCTGCTTCAGTTTGCTGGAGCTCCACTAGAGACCCTATTTGCCCGGTTATCACCAGTGGAGGCTGCAGAACTTAGCCTGCTTATTTCTCTGGAAGACTCGTCCCAGAGGGTCACTGGCCTGATGCCAGCCGCAGTTCTCCTGTATATGGTGTCTGTCGACCTCTGTTGGGAGGTCTCTCCCAGTCAAGAGGCACGGGGGTCAGGGACCCAACTGAGGAGGCGGTCTGTACCTTAGCGGAGCTCAAGCTCTGTGATGGGAGAACCCTCTTTGTCAGGATCTGCTGCTCTCTTCAGAGTTGGCTGGCAGTAACATTTAAGTCCTCTGAAGCTGTGCCACAGCTGCCCCTTCCCTGAGGTGCACTGTCTCAGGGATATGGGAGTTTTACTTATAAGCCCCTAACTGGGGCTGCTGCCTTTCAGAGATGCCCTGCCCAGTGAAGAGGAATCTAGAGAGGCATTCTGGCCACAG
The DNA here is from genome assembly GCF_000001405.40 of Homo sapiens. Classification (NCBI taxonomy): domain Eukaryota; kingdom Metazoa; phylum Chordata; class Mammalia; order Primates; family Hominidae; genus Homo; species Homo sapiens. The sequence goes on along the minus strand of NC_000006.12, from coordinate 123,182,863 downwards.
TTGCTTTGCCGGACTGTGCTGAGTTCCGCACAGTCTGAACTTCCAGGCCTCCTTAGCGCTGTCAGGGAAATACCGCCTACTCAAGCCTCAGTAATGGCAGATGCCCCTCTCCCCACCAAGCTCAGCCATCCCAGTTCGACTTCAGACTGCTGTGCTGGGAGCAAGAATTTCAAGCCAGTGGTTCTTAGCTCACTGGGCTCTGTGGGAGTGGAACCTGCTGAGCAAGACCACTTGGCTCCCTAGCTTCAGCCCCCTTTCCTGGGGACTGAAGGGTTCTCTCTCACTGGGATTCTAGGCACCACTGGGGTACAAAAAAAAATTCCTTCAGAAAGCTCATTGTCTGCCCAAATAGCCACCCAGTTTTGTGCTTGAAACCAGGGCCCTGGTGGTGTAGGCTCAGAAGGGAATCTCCTGGTCTGCGGATTGCAAAGACCATGGGAAAAACATAGTACCTGGGCCGGATAGCACAATCCCTTACTGCTTCCCTTGACTGGGAAAGGGAGGCCCCTCGCTCCTTGCACTTCCAGGGTGAGGTAACGCCCACCCTGCTTCTGCTCGCCATCCATGGGCTGCAACCAATGCCTAACCAGTCCCAATGAGATGAACAGGCTACCTCAGTTGAAAATGCAGAAATCACACTGATGGGTCTTGACTCTTTATCCAACTTGCCAGTCTGTGTCTTTTAATTGCAGAATTTAGTCCATTTATATTTAAAGTTAATATTGTTATGTGTGAATTTGATCCTGTCATTATGATGTTAGCTGGTGATTTTGCTCATTAGTTGATGCAGTTTCTTCCTAGTCTCGATGGTCTTTACATTTTGGCATGATTTTGCAGCGGCTGGTACCGGTTGTTCCTTTCCATGTTTAGCACTTCCTTCAGGAGCTCTTTTAGGGCAGGCCTGCTGGTGACAAAATCTCTCAGCATTTGCTTGTCTATAAAGTATTTTATTTCTCCTTCACTTATGAAGCTTAGTTTGGCTGGATATGAAATTCTGGGTTGAAAATTCTTTTCTTTAAGAATGTTGAATATTGGCCCCCACCCTCTTCTGGCTTGTAGGGTTTCTGCCGAGAGATCCGCTGTTAGTCTGATGGGCTTTCCTTTGAGGGTAACCCGACCTTTCTCTCTGGCTGCCCTTAACATTTTTTCCTTCATTTCAACTTTGGTGAATCTGACAATTATGTGTCTTGGAGTTGCTCTTCTCGAGGAGTATCTTTGTGGCGTTCTCTGTATTTCCTGAAATGGGATCTAATTAAACTCAAGAGCTTCTGCACAGCAAAAGAAACTACCATCAGAGTGAACAGGCAACCTACAACATGGGAGAAAATTTTCGCAACCTACTCATCTGACAAAGGGCTAATATCCAGAATCTACAATGAACTCAAACAAATTTACAAGAAAAAAACAAACAACCCCATCAAAAAGTGGGCGAAGGACATGAACATACACTTCTCAAAAGAAGACATTTATGCAGCCAAAAAACACATGAAGAAATGCTCATCATCACTGGCCATCAGAGAAATGCAAATCAAAACCACTATGAGATATCATCTCACACCAGTTAGAATGGCAATCATTAAAAAGTCAGGAAACAACAGGTGCTGGAGAGGATGTGGAGAAATAGGAACACTTTTACACTGTTGGTGGGACTGTAAACTAGTTCAACCATTGTGGAAGTCAGTGTGGCGATTCCTCAGGGATCTAGAACTAGAAATACCATTTGACCCAGCCATCCCATTACTGGGTATATACCCAAAGGATTATAAATCATGCTGCTATAAAGACACATGCACACGTATGTTTATTGCGGCACTATTCACAATAGCAAAGACTTGGAACCAACCCAAATGTCCAACAATGATAGACTGGATTAAGAAAATGTGGCACATATACACTATGGAATACTATGCAGCCATAAAAAATGATGAGTTCATGTCCTTTGTAGGGACATGGATGAAATTGGAAACCATCATTCTCAGTAAACTATCACAAGAACAAAAAACCAAACACCGCATATTCTCACTCATAGGTGGGAATTGAACAATGAGATCACATGGACACAGGAAGGGGAATATCACACTCTGGGGACTGTGGTGGGGTCGGGGGAGGGGGGAGGGATAGCATTGGGAGATATACCTAATGCTAGATGACACGTTAGTGGGTGCAGCGCACCAGCATGGCACATGTATACATATGTAACTAACCTGCACAATGTGCACATGTACCCTAAAACTTAGAGTATAATAAAAAAAAAAAAAAAAAGAAAATGCAGAAATCACCTGCCTTCTGTGTTGGTCTCACTTGGAGCTACAGACTGGAGCTGTTCCTATTAGGCCATCTTGCCAGATCCCACCCCTGTGTCTACATTTTTCCATCCATGAAAATGTTATTCATAATTGAATGTTGTATTTTACTATAATTGTATAATATCACCCAATTTTTTCCTGCTTGGTTTTATTTGTATCTGTTGCTAATTCTTCCCCTACCTTCCAGCAGCCTCTCAGTACAATTTTCAACAATGTCAGTCACACTAGGCAATCCATATGTTGCCATTTTTTCCTGGACATGACCTACCTGGAGACATCTACTCTCCTATCTGCTGCCCAGTTGCCATCTTGAGACATCCTTAGATTTATCTTGGAATTCTCTCTGCTTTTCCTCTAGGCTGGATTCCCTGGATTATTTATCTCTTGTTTTTTTTTCTTTCTTCATTTATTCTCCAATTTTGCTGAAATATATGCCCCAATAATTTTGTCAGATCATAAAATGCTATCACAGAAAAAGGCCTTCTGATGGTAGCCTCAGTGTACATGCCCTTTGAGTCAGACTGCCCCAAGTTGAACTGTTTGCCCTCCATGTCTGATACATAGGTTATCACCCTGAGCTTTCCTTTTGTGTTATTCTAGGGATTTGATTTGACACTCTGCTTTTTCAGTTCTCTGGTTCTTGTATTTTGGGGCCCACTTTCTCTTAGTTTATTGCCTTATTTTGTTGCAGTATATCTCCTGGCACCTCCATTGGCAAAGGGTGCATGAGAGATATTCCTTGAAACTTGTATGTCTGAAAATATTTTGGGGAGAAAGTGCTCAACACCAGTATCTTTAAGTATTTCCTCCAGAGATGTGAATTTTTCCTGAGATTTATCCTTTGTGTGAAGTATAAAGTTTTGGCTGCCAGCATTCTGGGAGTTGAGAAGAGGAGAGAGAACCAAGATGCAGCACTGAGTATGTATGAGGTCATTTGATGGCCCTATTTTCATTAAGAAACCAGTGGCTTTTACTGTTTCTATAGATCTCCAGGACAAAGACTTTATCCTCTGTTTAGGAAATAACATTTTGTAACTCTGCTAGTGTAGGAGGGAAGAACTCATCCGGAGGTGAAAAGTCTGGGAGGGATTCAGGACTCTCACACAAATATCCTTTACCTACATCATCTTTATATTAGTGTCCTGCCTGCCCCAATTTTCAGAGATATTTGGGATTGGTATTTTCTGAGCTTTTTGACAATTATTCAGGAAAAAAATATATATTGGTTTGAGCTTTCCCCTCTGCTTACCTAGCAGAAAAGAATGGAACTGTCTTCTCCATTTTGTTAATTCAGCTTTTCCTCTTTTATTAGCTTTCTAGCTTCTAAGATTGTATTTGCTTTCTAGCTTCTAAGATTCTATTTGCTTTCTAGCTTCTAAGATTCTATTGTTTGTCCTCCTCTCTTTCTATCTGTGGCTTAACATATTCCACAAAACGTCTTTAAAAGATTTGTTATAATTTAGTGGGGCTGTGGGACCCAAATTAGATGTGTGTGATCAGTGTGCTCATAACTTACAATATCAACTTGCTCTTAATTTCTATATTTTAAAAACTTGAATTAATGACATTGACATATTCCAGCTACCTTTGGTAAAAACTATTATGTTTATGGCTATGTTTATACACTGAGAAATATCTAGGAGAAAAGTAATACTCATGCTTTTTTCATAATGCTATATGGCCTATGTAATGTCAAAACAACTGGATGACTAACAACATTTTATTTTTTGTCTAGATATTTTGATCTAAACTAAATGGCAGGCTTTGTCTGAGAGCTCTCCAACCTTCACGAAACACATGAAATGTTATCAGCTTCTAATACTTCTTTCTTCCCATCCCCCAGGACCCTGGTGTTTTCATCTCTCTACCATTAAATTTTTAAACCTTTATTTATAGAAATAAATTACTGATAACAGATTAATGTGCTACTTTAGCCATTTCCATTTCCATTTGAAATAAACATGAAAGCATTAAAAAAACTTATTAAGCATTAATGGCAGCTAGTTGTAGGTATTTAAAGTTTTCTTTCTGCCTTTTTAATCATGTCACATACATCAGTCTTAATGACTGAAGATGTCTCTGTAAATATTATAGAAAGTTTACGTTATGAAGGATAACTCTATCTTTGAGTGGTATGCTGCTCTTCGGGTCTTTGAAGAATATAGATAGTTTCGAAGAGCTCCCAATACAAAAATTTCCAGAAAGCTTAGAAGAGGGGTTTGAGGTCAGATACTATGGTTTTCTTTAGTGAAGAGCTGAGTCTGATACATAGCAAGGCTCTATTTTTCACCCATTAAACTAAAAAACATCCATGGAAACTTATTTATGGATAAGACGGTTTGTCTTTGAATGATCCAGAAAACATTGCCTATAAGTTGAAAATAATTCAAAAGACAATTTGAAATCATTAGTATTATCTTTTACTTTCACTAAACATACCAAGATTGTTGGGAATGCCAACATTCTACCAACAACCAAGTTGACTCTTTTTCCGTCACCCATCTAGAACCCATTTAAGTTGTCATCCAGTCTCTCTAGGCTAATATGTAAAGTCTAAGCTGAAATTGTATTGATTTGGCACAGCTTTCACCTTCTGCTTATAATCATGTTTGTCCTTTAATCTAATTATAGTCATTTTTGTCTTATATTTCTTATTTCAGTTATTAACTTCCTTTGAAGTTACTTGGAACTTACTGAAATATGTTGTTTTTACATTATCTAGCAAACTGCATCATGTACTTTAATGTATATACCAAAAATATAGTCAAAAGAAATGAGATTGCAGTTGTAAAGTTTCAAAAGTTTTCAAAATTCAGGGCAAACACCGTATGCTCTCTCTCTCTCATAGTTTAATTATAGAATTCCATCCATAATAATTCTGAATAAGTCATACCATTTATTTTTCCTGTTCTCATTCATTTTAGAGAAAGATTGTTCTATTAACATTGACCTGTGCCCCATTTGTCATCTGTTTTGCAATCTATTCAATTCCAGTTATATCAAAGGGATTTGCAGGCCTAATAAAGAAGACCCAGAGAGCATTTCATCTCTCAAAAGAAGAAGCCATAACCTCAGTACAGTAGAAATGTTCACACATTACAAAAACAATATATCCATTGAAAAATATGTTCTCCAAGAAATATAAAAGGGTGTAGAGGTGAGCGAAATGCAAATATCTCATTTGTACTCTTTCTTCTTTTTCTTCAGAAGAAAAAGGTTTAACAGTCTTTTATGTGGGAGAAAGTTATCATGATTCTTAAAGAGGTTAGAAACATCACTTCATAAACAGCACCTGATAATATAATAGTGACTGTCGAAGTGGATTTCTCTACACATCCTGCAAGTAAGCCAAACACATAAACAAGGAGAATAAATTAAATAAGCTTAATTTTCACATAGGGAATAACCAGGAGACAAAGGCCCAAAGTAACATTTTGCATAATTTGAGAAATACATACCAGAATGTAGTAGAGCCAATTTCATGACCACATCAGAGTAGAGTGAGGCTAATATTATGGAGAATAAAAAAGGGGAGAGGGTCAGAGAGGTGACGGAACATAAATCAGTCACCCCAGAGAGAGAAAGTTCCACCCTAAAAGCTGATCTATTGAGAACACACATGATAGAGCAGAGTGTCAGCTACTGGAGAGTTGAAAGGAAGTGATTAAAATTGGGACTAGATATGACACCACTTAAGAAGGCACTGCCTCTGGGGGAAAGTGGTGTGAGTTAGAAAAGGAAGGCATCACTTAGAAGATTGGCAGTGAAAAGCAAGAAGGAAACAGGAGTGGAAGTTAAAAGACAAAAACAGAATCACAATATCAGAAAACACACCAAAGCTTTGCTGTGCATTGACACAAAGGAAATGAAAAAAAAAATCTTCAGAGACTATATTATTTATGTGTGAATACATTAGAAAACCTGTGTAAAATAGAAAATTTCCTAGAAAAAAATACAATTTAGTATTACTAAACACAGTTATCCAAAGAAGAAATAGAGAGAAATGTCAAAGATTATCCAATAGAAAGCACAAAGATCAGATGGTTTCACAGAGAAATTCATGAGTACTTTCAATGATCATGAAATCCCAATGCTGCATAAAATGTTTAAAATGTTTCAGATCAGGCTGGGCACAGTGGCTTACACCTGTAATCCCAGCACTTTGGGAGGCCGAGGCAGGTGTATCACCAGAGGTCAGGAGTTCAAGACTAGCCTGACCAAAGTGGTGAAACCCTGTCTCTACTAAAAATACAAAAAATTAGCCAGGTGTGATGGCGGGCACCTATAATTCCAGCTATTCAGGAGGCTGAGGCAGGAGAGTCACTTGAACCCAGGAGGCAGAGGTTGCAGTGAGCCGAGATTGCGCCACTGCACTCCAGCCTGGACGCCGCAGAGTGAGATTCTGTCCAAAGAAAAAAAAGAAAAAGAAAAAGAAAAAAGAAAAAAAAAGTTTCAGATCATTCGGGGGAAAAGTTTCCAATTTTTAACATTAATCACTGTAACATTGAAACACATCTATTAAAGATAGCATTATCATTCACACCAAAGAATTAATGGTTGATTAAATACTGGGATATCATTAATAGAATTCACCATATTAGTGGACCAAAGGAGAAAAGTTATGATTATCTCCTTAAATGTTGAAAAGACTTTTGAAAAAAAGTAACAACAGTTTTTATAGAAACACTATTAAAATAGTATACAATAGATATTTAACAGGATTTTATATCTATATAATATGAAAACTAGCATCCTGCTAAGTGGGGAAACAGTAGGGTAAATTTTCATTAACATAGAGCGCCCATTATCACCCTACTATCACTATTTATATAACTGGAAAACTAAAAATTATTTTCAAATCAATACAAACAATAAAATACTTCAAAAAGATAGCAGAAACATACATTAACATGCAAAAGTCAATAGTGTTCACAAATGAAAACAATATAACCCACTTACAAAGCAACAACAAAAGTAAGATATTTAGGAGCAAATGTGAAAAACAAAAAACTCAGTAAGGAAAACCTTAAAATATTCCTGAAAGACATGAAAATAGACTTGAACAAATGGAAGGAGATTTTTTGTTTTGGAATGGACATATCAAACAATGTCCATTCTCCCAAAGTTACTATTACAACTTTAACCTTGTCCCAATAAAATTACAATTTGATTGGGAACTAATCAAATTGTTTCTAAATTTTAGGTAAACAAATTTATTCTAAATTTTAGATAGAAAACAAAGATGACATAATAGGAAAGCACTGGAATGGAAAGGGAGATAAGCAATAAAAGGGGACAAGCCCTACCAGACGCTGAAACACCTAAAGCCTCTGTAATATATCTTGTAATATTGACTCATGGAAAAACAGACCAGTGGAATAGAATAAATATTCCAGAAGCACATAAACCAAGTACATAATGATAGAATATGATAAAGGTAGCACTTTAAAATCACTGAATAAAAGATAAATATTTTTAATTATATTGAGAAAACTGGACAGCCATTTGTAACTGATTAAACAGGTCTCATATCTCACACTACACATAAGAAAAACTTAAAAGTATCATTGATCTAAACGCAAAAAAATAAAAATAAAAAAATTAGTACTAGAAAACACATTGGTGAATTCTTTCTTAACCCAGTGTTAGGAACTTTTAAAGAATACTCAAAACCTTGATACACTAAAAAGATCAATAAATTAGGCTATATAATAGTAAAAAATATGATATTTTGCATAGAAAATTATCAAAAGCAAACTCAAAAAATCAAATTTACAGAAAATATTGGTAACACATATCACTGATACAGTACTCTCTCACTAGCATATCAAAAGCCTTATAAAAATTATTTTCAAAATATGAAAGCTGAGAGAAAATGAGCATAAGATATGAACAGAAGTTTAAAGTAAAATATAGACCAATGACCTTTAAACATATGAAAGCTTCCTCAAGTTATCTCATAATAATATAAAGGCAAATGTCTGTACAATCTGATATATTGTATTTCTGATATTGGTAATGTTTTTACTTCTGCTATGTTTTTTTCTCTTTTTTTCTAGTATTTTAAGGTTGAAGCTTAGGCTATTGATTTGAATAATTTTGCCTTTTTAATATAAGCATTTGATGCTGTACGTTTGCCTTGAATAACTGTTTTTTCTGTACCCTACATTTTTTGATATGGTGTTTTTATTTTTCATCAGTTGCAAATATTTTATCATTTCCCCGTAAACTTCCCCTTTGACAAAGATTATTTAAAAGTTAAATTTCTAAACGTTTAGTGGATTTTACAGACATCTTTTTCTTTTTGATTTCTATTTTAATGTGATTACAGTAAGATAACACAGTTTGTATGTTTTCAGATCTTTTAGAGTTGTTAAGATTTGTCTTATGTCACAGATTATGGTTTATCTTGATGAATTCTCTATGTTCTCTAGAAAAGAATATGTATCCTGCTATTTTTGGCAGTGTTAAATAAGCATCAATTAGGTCAAGTAGATCTATAGCATTTTTCATGACTTATATACCTTTGTTGATTTTCTGGTCTGCTTGTTCTATCAATTACTGAGAGTAGAGAGTTGAATTTTTCAACTATAATTGTAGATTTGTATATTTCTCCTATTAGTTTGATCCATGTTTCACTTCATCTATTTTGTATCTCTGTTGTTAGGTGCATACACATTGAGGATTGCTACATCTTGGTGAATTTACCCTCATCATTATTTAATACCTTAATTTTCTCTGGAAATTTTTCTTGTTCAGAAGTCTATTTTGCATGATATCAATATAGCTACCCCATCTTTAGTTTGGTTAGTATTTGTATGATATATCTTCTCCTACCCTGTAACTTTTAATCTACTCGTACTATTATATTTAATATGGGTTTCTTGTACACAGCATTTAATTGTGTTTTGTAAAATCAAATCTAACAATCTCCACATTTAAATTTATGTTTAGACTATTTATATTTTAAGTAATTATAAAGAACATTTCATTATTTTTCTGTTTGTTTCTTCTGTTTCTGTTCCTCCTTTCCTGCCTTCTTTTGAATTACTTGAGCATGTTTGGTATTACACTTTAATTTTCCTACTGTCATTTAGGTTATAATGTTTTGTATCCATTTATTAGTGGCTTCTATAAAGGATATAATCTAATAACTTTTCACAGTCTCCTTAGAATAAACATTTATTTCTTTATAGATATACTTAAAATAAATATTTACTCCTTTATGGATGTACAGGAGCCTTACAACCATATGAGTTTATTTACACTTCTTTATTTTTGTTATATTTGTCATATGTATTACACCTATATACTTTAAAGTAATCCCAATGTTGTGAGTTTTGCTTTTAACAGTCATAAATGTTTTAAATAATTCATGAGTGAAAAAAAAATCCTATTACAATTTTCCTATTACCAATTCTGTTTTTAATTCTTCATTTCTAAAGTTCCAAGGTTTCCTCTGGGATCATATCTCTCCATCATAAAAATTTCCTTTTGTATTTGTTTTAAAGCAAATACACTAATGACAGAGTCTCTTAGTTTTTCCTAAGTCTGATAATATGTTTATTTCTCCATTATTCCTGACAGATATATTAACTGGATATACAATATAGATTGAACATCTTTTTTCCCCCAGCACTCTGACTGTATTTTTTCACCATCTGCTGGTCTCAATGGCTTTTGGTGAGAAATTCGCATTAGTTCTAGCTATTGTTTCCTGATACATAATGTGTCATTTTCCTCCAGCTTCAAGATTTTTTCTAACTTTGGTTTTGAAAAGTATGATTATAATGTATCTGAACATTTTTTTCATTGAGTTTATCCTATTTTGTGTTCACTAAGCTTCTTGAATTTGTAAATGTATTTATTTTATCAAATTTGGTGTGTTTCTAGTCATTGTTTCTTATTTTTTCTTCATCCATGCCTTTATCCCATCCTTCAGAGAATCAAACAACACAAATGTTAAACATTTTAATATTTTCCACATATCACCGAGGCTTTGTCCATTATTTTTTTCTTTCTAGTCTTCAAATATGATAAATTATATTGTTCTGTATTTATGGTTAATGACTTTTTCTTCATTTATTTTTATTTTGCTATTGAGCCTATCCAATAAAATTTTTTAGTTCTGATTTTTCAGTTCTAACATTTCCATTTGGTCTTTATTACAGTTTTTTATTTCTCAACTGAGAATTATTGTCTTCCTATTCATCTAAAAACTTTGTACTTCTACCTAATGGAACATGGTTCTAATAACTACTCTAAAATGTTTATCTGATCATTTCAATACCTGGATTTTCTTGAGGTTACTATGTTGCTTGTCTTTTCCCTTGATAATTTCTCATAGTTTCATACTTTTGAGTATGTTGAGAAACTTTGGATTTTATTCTATATATTTTGAGTATTATATTTTTAAAGCAACTTTGGGTAGAATGCTGATTATTTGTTTGTTTTAGCAAGCAATCAACCCAGTTGGGTATAAACTCCAAATTCTGTTGCACCTTCCAATGGCAGTGGTTCTAACTTCAGATCAGTTTTTAAAGCCTTTGCTATGCTATTTGGATGAGCCTGTCACATGTGCAACTCAGATTCCGTCTGGAACTTGGACAGTAGTTTACACTTTAATTTAATTTCAAAATTGCTGTCACGATTCTTTGGATGTGTTCCATGTATGCACAGCTTAGCAGTGAGCCCAGAACTGGTATAGGTTCATACACAATTTCTCCCACACTCTCCCACCCTCAATGAGAGAGAAACCCCCTTTTCTAGTTTTGCTGCCCAGAAATGCAGGTTTCTATCAGAGGTTTAGCTTCCCACTCGGTTAAGCAGTTGTTTACAATTGAGCCTACCTTTTGGAGTGAAGCAATGAGTGAAAGAGAGAGAAATATTAATGCGGGGTCTCTTCACGCTCTGTACAACAAAGGATACATTTTCCAGTTTCTCTATTCAGAGGAAAAATCCTTCTCTGTAGGGTTTTAGATGCCCAAGGCCATCACCACAGCAATATAGCATTGTTGTCCCATGAGTCAGGTTGGCCTCAGGGTAGGGCTTTAATGAAAATAGGGAAAAAACAAATAAGGATTTACCCTCTTCACACTTTCTGGTCCACAGCTTCCTTTTTCCCCAGACCTCTGGCCAGAAAGATAAATGTTTCTTGGAGTTTGCTGTGTGTTACATAATTTCTCAATTTGGTCTACTGTTGTGTCAAAGCTGAGAGATAAAGATGGTGAAAAAAATACGAGGGACTCTTAACTGCCATATTGTTATTCAGTGTTTTGCCTTCCTGCCCCAATCTACCTGCTATTAATCACCGATCACTTTTCAGAAGTCTCAGGTATGTTGCTTTCGGTATTTTTCCCAGGGTTTTAAGTTGTAGTCAGTGGAAGAGATAGGCTGCTGAGGGTTTCTTCCATCTTGATTGGAAGTGGAAGTCCAGATTTTTTGTGCTTTAACAATAGTAATTCGTTACTGAATAGATAGATGAGTTATACAATTGCAGAACCATTGGAGGCATAACCACACATTCTAAACTTTTTTTTTCTAAATTATAAATTATAAAACCTATGCTATCCAAATCACATGAAAAATCTTAATTTACATAAAAATAAAATCACACAGTCCAGTTCAATAGTAGATGAGCATTTTGGAAATAGATTCAGCAGATTATTTTCATACAACATTAAGTAATTGAAGAATACATTTTTTTTTCCTCCTGATTATGTTTCTTTGCTCACTAAGGAGCTTTCTGGTTTAACTTATCTTCCCTTGTGTAACTTCAACATGTATATAACTGAGTTCTTAAAGACGTATTATGTTCAAGAGGTAATTATGGTTCTAGGGAGAATGCGAAGATCTTCAAGTATCCTGTAATATTAAAAGGCTAAACTCTACGATTGTATTTTCTACAAATTTATATTCTTTATACTAAGTGGAAATCAATACATTGATTTTTATTCATCAAATTGATATTTTTGTCTAAGAGGAATGCTAACACATTTTCCAAATGGAATCATTAAAAAAATAATTCTGCCAAAAGGATATTGCCTGACTGGACTACAAAATTACACAGCATATTGAAAACAACAGCTGGATTATAAGACATTCAAGATGCTGAGAGCCTCTTGAACATAGTTGAACATTTGAATTAAATAAGATAAAACACTTAAAATACTGAATTTCTGAAGTGCCATATCAACCTCAGTTATTACTGTTATCTGCTGGGATTTGTACCTTGGTTTCTGCTTTAATGCCCATGCTCCTTTCACTTCACCATTCTCCTTTTCTATGTTTCCATGTTAACTGAATTTCCTCCTTCAGACTTGACCTCTCTACTTTCCCTCCACCTTGCCACTATTTAAAACACAAATATACTCATTTCAATGTCCTGCTTTAAACATTTCAATCACTCTCAATTATCAACAAACTAAATTTGAGGGTCAGTAGTATGTAAATGATGGTTTATCTTTTGCAGTCACACATATGCCTCTTGTTCTCCAGACATTGAAAATACTTGCAGTTCCCAGAACATAATATGCTCTTTCAAAGCTCTGGAGTTATCACAGCCTGTTTCTTCTTCCGTCTGATTTTTCTGGTGAGCCATTATTTATCCTCAAAGATGCATCTGACGTGTCTTTCTTGATGGCCCCAGAAAAAGCTAGAAAATTCCATTTTTTTCATCTTTTCTCAAAACATAATTGCATTTTTAGCTCATAAAACATAAGACATGCTTTCCTAACTACTTACTTGCTAAAGATTTCCCTGGCACAAACTATGTATTCAACACATGTTAAATCAGTGGTGTGTAAAGGAAGGAATAAAAGAAAAAAATTAAGGAAGGAAAGGAGCGAGGGAGGGAGAGAGTACAACTAATAAGCAACAGTACTTGGAACCAGGTAGGCTGTATGCTTCAAATACAAGATAGTCTGCTCCTTCATTGCATTCTACTATAAAGCAAGAAAATGATGAACCCTGTTCTGTTCAAAAAATTCTGTTGGGTCTAAATTTGACACACTAGGTCTGTCACCACTGAGAAGGACTAAAAAAGGGCATTCTTGTCAACAGTGATTGTCATTGTTATAAGATTTTATTTTTGTAATAGAATCAAGGGCCTGTGCTGGCACTGCTGTAGTTGTCACAGAGCTGTGACATGTCTCAACAGTCAAATTTCAGAGTTTTAAGGTCACTTGTTTCACAATCACCTTCTATTTGCTCTCATGATGAATGTTCTAAGCAGTTTCTAGTACACCAAGTATCTTTAAGGCAGGCCAAGAAAAGGTCTTATTTAATAAGATTTCTATATTTTTTGACTTGAAATGTGAAGAGATTTTCTAATATAAATGTCATTTATGAAGATGATGTTAAGGTGTTTTTCTCAGCATATACATCATCTTTTCTATGATGATTCCTATGAGAAATATCTCAGGATATTGCATTGCATAAGTGGCAGCTGTGCTTCTCTAAAGTAACAGGACAGCTTTTAATCCTTTGGCCACCATGCATTGTATAGTTGGCAATATTTCTCTTCTCACTTTTACTGGTACAAGCATTATATTTAAATTTGAGAGCCGTCCTAGCAAGAATATAGACTTAATAACTTGCATTTTCTACATAATTTTATTTCTACTTACATAATTTAATCCAACTTTTGCTTTTTCTTTCTCACTACTTTTCAATTTACTTTTGTCCTTTCAAAAACTCAGAAAATCTTTACCAATCAGGTCAGTAGAACACAGGGCACAGGGCATGCAGACTCTATACTTTTAAAAATCAATCCCAGTTTTCATGTTGAATAAATGTACTAGGATGCAGTTACTGCATGGAAAGAAAGTAATTCAAAGGACTAAAGTACTCAGAATGCTTCAGCATGAAACCCAGCATCTGCTATGGTCATTTTTAGTAAATGGCCTTCTGTTTTCTGGATTATTCCTGTATCATACTCATAAGCCCAGGACAAATTCCAAGATAAATATATCAGAATCTTAAAGATTTCCTGCTGGAAGTCAGTTTCATTTGAGTTGCTTTCATTTGCAAACCAGAAATGGTTAATAAATATGTTCTTCCACCATAATTTTTTTCTAAGACATTTTGGCGTATTTTTTAAAAACTGTGTGTACATAGTAGGTGTATATATTTATGGGGTACATGAGATATCTGGATACAATTACACAATGAAAAATAAGCACATCTTGGACAATGGGATATCTATCCCCTCAAGCATTTGCCCTTTGAGTTACAAACAATCCGTTTACATTATTTAAGTTATTTAAAAATATACACTTAAATTATTATTGACTAGGGTCACCCTATTGTGCTATCAAAGAGTAGATCTTATTTATTCTTTCTGTATTTTGTACCATTAACTACCCCCACCTCCTCCCTAACCGCACACTACCCTTCCAAGCCTCTGGCGACCATCCTTTTGTTCTCTATGTCCATGAGTTCAATCGTTTTGATTTTTAGATCCCATAAATAAATGAGAACATGTGATGCATGTCTTTCTGTGCCTGGCTTATTTCACTTAACATAATGATCTCCAGTTCCATCCATTCTGCAAATGACAGAATCTCATTCATTTTTATAGATGTGTAGTACTCCATTTTGTATGTGCAGCACATTTTATTTATCCCTTCGTCTGCTGATGGACACATAGATTGCTTCCAAATCTTAGCTATTGTAAACAGTGCTGCAACAAACATAGGAGTGCAGATATCTCTTCGATATACTGATTTCCTTTCTTTTGGTTACATATCCAGCAGTGGGATTGCTGGATCATATGGTAGCTCAATTTTTAGGTTGTTGAGAAACTCCAAACTATTCTTCATAGTTATTGTATTAATTTACATTCCCACCAACAGTATACAAGGGTTGCCTTTTCTCCACATCCTTGTCAGTATTTGTTATTACCTGTTTTTTTTTTTTTTGATATAAGCCATTTTAAATGGGATGAGATGATATCTGATTGTAGTTTTGATTTTCATTTCACTAATGATCAGTGAGGTAGGGCATCATTTCAGTTGCCTGTTTGCCATTCATAAGTCTTCTTTTGAGAAATGGCTGTTCAAATCATTTGCCCATGGTTTGATCAAGTTATTTGATTTTTTTTCTATAGAGTTGTTTGAGCTCCTTACGTATTCTAACTATTAATCCTTTGTCAAAGGGGTAGTTTGCAAATATTTTTCTTCTATTCTCTGGGTTTTTTTCTGCACTTTGCTGTGCAGAAGCTTTTTAACTTGATGTGATCCCATTTGTCCATATTTGCTTTTGTTGCCTGTGCTTGTGGGGTATTACTCAAAAAATCTTTGTCCAGATCAATGTGCTGGAGATTTTCTTCAATGTTTTCTTGTGGTCGTTTCATAGTTTTAGGTCTCAAATTTAAGTCTTTAATCCATTTTGATTTTATTTTTTAATATGGCAAGAGATAGGGGTCTAGTTTTATTCTTTTGCATTTGGTTATCCAGTTTTCCCAGCATCATTTATTGAAGAGACTGTCTTTTCCTCAGTATATGTTCTTGACACCTTTGTCAAAAATGAGTTCACAACAGGCGTATGGATTTGTGTCTGGGTTCTGTATTCTGTTAAATTGGTTCATGTGTCTGTTTTTATGCCAATACCGGGCTGTTTGGTATAATTTGAAATCAGGTAACATGATTCCTCTGGTATTGTTCTTTCTGCTTAGGATAGCTTTGGCTATTGTGGGTTTTTTTTGTGGTTCCATATAAATTTTAGAAATTTAGAATTGTTTTTTCTATTTCTGTGAAGAATGTCATTGGTATTTTGATAGGGATTGCATTGAATCTGTAAATTGCTTTAGTATGAACACTTCAACTATATTGATTCTTCCAATCCATGAACATGGAGTATTTTTCCATTTTTTGATGTTCTCTTCAATTTCCTTTATCAGCATTTTATAGTTTTCATTATAGAGATCTTTCACTTTGGATAAGTTAATTTCTAGGTATCTAATTTTATGTATGGCTATTGTGAATGGGATTACTTTTAAAATTTCTTTTTCACATTGTTCACTGTTGGCATATAGAAACTCTACTGATTTTGTAAGTTAATTTTTGTATCCTGAAATTTTACCAAATTTGTTTATCAGTTCTAATAGTTTCCTTGCAGAGTCTAGGTTTTTCAAAATATAAGATCATATTATCAGCAAATAAGAATAATTTGACTCCTTCCTTTCAATTTGGATGTCCTATATATCTTTGTCTTGTCTAATTGCTCTAGCTAGTACTTCCAGTTCTATATTGAATAACATAGTGACAGTGGGCATCCCTGTCATGTTACAAATCTTAGAGTAAAGACTTTCTGTTTTTCCCCATTAAGTATGATACTAGCTGTGGGTCTGTCATATGTGACTTTTATTATGTCGAGGTATGTTCCTTCTATACCCAGTTTTTGAGGGTTTTCTTCATGAATGGATGTTGAATTTCACCATATTCTTTTTCAGCATCAATTGAAATGATCATATGGTTTTTAACCTTCACTCTGTTGATACAATGTATCATGTTAATTAATTTGTGTATGTTGAAACATACTTACATTCCAGGGATAAATTGCACTTGGTCATGATGAATGATCTTTCAAATGTATTGTTGAATTCAGTTTGCTAGTATTTTGTTGAGGATTTTTGCAGCAATAGTTATCAGAGATATTGGCTTGTAATTTTCTTTTTTACATGTGTCTGGTTTTAGTATCAGGGTAATATTGGCCTTGTAGAATGAGTTTGGAAGTATTCCCTTCTCCTCTACTGTTTTTGAAATAGTTTGAGTAGAGTTGGTATTAGTTCTTTAAGTGGCAGAATTCAGCAGTGAAACCATCGAGTCCTGGGCTTTTGTTTACTGGAAGACTTTTTATAACAGCTTTAATCTCATTACTTGTTATTGGTCTGTTTACATTTTGCATTTCTTCCTGGTTAGACCTTGGAAGGTTGTATGTATGTAGAAATTTGTCCATTTATTCTATATTTTCCAATTTCTTGGCATATAGTTGTCCATAGTAGCCACTAATGAGCCTTTGAATTTCTGCAGTAAGAGTTGTAAGGTCTCCTTTTTCATTTCTGATTCTATTTATTTGTATCTTCTTTTTTTTTCTTATTCTGGCTAAAGATTGGTCAATTTTGATTAATTTTTATTGCTTTTGTTAAACAAAACCAACTATTTGTTTCATTGATCTTTTGTATTTTTTTATTTCAATTTCATTTATTTCTAATCTGATCTTTATTATTTCTTTTCTTCTATTAATTTGGGGTTTGCTTTGCTCTTGTCTTTTTAGTTCTTTAAGATGCATCATTAAATTTCATTTAAAGTTTTTCTTCTTTTTTACGGTAGGCATTCATAGCTACGAACTTCTTTTTTAATACTGCTTTTGCTGCATCTCATAGGTTTTTGTATCTTGTGTTTCCATTATCATTTGTTTCAATAAATTTTTCACTTTTCTTCTTAACTTTTCATTGACTCACTGGTCATTCAGGAACATATTATTTAGTTTCCATGTATTTGTATAGTTTCCAATATTCCTCTTGTTATTAGTTTCTGATTTTAGTCAATTGTTGTCAGAGATGTTTGATATTATTTCAGTGTTTTTGAGGGTTTTAAGACTCGTTTTGTGACCTAACATATGGTTTATCCTTGAGAGTAATCCATGAGCTGGGGAAAAGAATCTGTATTCTGCAGTTCTTGGATGAAATATCATGTAAATATCTCTTAGATCCACTTGGTCTATAGTACAGATTAATTCCAATGTTTCTTTGTTGATTTCCTGTCTGGAAGATCTGGCCAATGCTGAAAGTGGGGTGTTGAAGTCTCCAGCTATTATTGTATGAGGGACTATCTCTTTCTTTAGCTCTAATAATATTTATTTTATATATCTGGTTGCTCCAGGGGTGCATATGTATTTAAAATTGTTATATTCTCTTGCCAAATTGACCCTTTTATTATTATGTAGTGACCTTCTTTGTCTCTTCTTACAGGTTTTGTCTCAAAATCTATTTTGTCTAATATAAGTATAGTGATGCTTGCCCTTCTTCTGGTTTCCATTGGCATGGAATATTTTATTCCATCCTTTTATTTTCAGTCTATATTTGTCTTTATAGGTGAAGTACATTGTTGTAGGCAACAGATCAATGGGTCTTGTTTTTTCTTTCATCCTGCCAGTCTATGCCTTTTGATTGGAGAGTTTAGTCCATGTACATTCAATGTTATTATTGATAAGGGAGGACTTACTCCTGGCATTTTGTTATTTGTTTATTTTCTCATTGTTTGTGGTCTTCTCTTCCTTCTGCCTTTCCTTTCTGTCTTTTTCTATTGAAAGTGATTTTCTCTGGTGATATAATTTCATTTCTTACTTTTTATTTTTTGTGTTTCCATTGTATGTTTTTTCATTTGGGGTTACCATGAGGCTTGCAAATACCATCTTACAACCAACTAGGTAAACCTGATAACAACTTAACACTATTTGCATAAACAAACAAACAAGCAAAAAGAAAACTAATAAAAATCTCTATGCCTTGACATCATTCCTCCACTTTTTAACTTTTTGCTGTTTCTGGTAATATGTTATTGCATTAAGTATGTCTTGAAAATTTTTTGATTGGTTATTATTTTTGATTGGTTCATTGTTTAGTCTTTCTACTTAGGATAAAAATAGTTTACACACCACAGTTACATTGCTATAATATTCTGTGTTTTTGTGTACTTACTATTACCAGTGAGTTTTGTACCTTCAGGTAACTATTTGTTGTTCATTAATTTCCTTTTCTTTCTTATTGGAGTACTCCCTTTAGCATTTCCTGTAGGGCGTGTCTGGCATTGATGAAATCCCTCAGGTTTTGTCAGTCTGGAAAAGTCTTTATTTCTCCTTCATGTTTGAAGGATATTTTTGCCAGACATACTATCTTAGGGTAAAAGTTATTTTCCTTCAGCAGTTTAAATATGTCATTCCACTCTCTCCTGACCCATAAGGTTTCCATTGAAAGGCTGCTGGCAGATGTATTGGAGCTCCATTGTATGATTTTTTTTATTTTCTCTTGCTACTTTTAGGATTATTTCTTTATTTGTGACCTTTCAGAGTTTGATTATTGAATGCTTTGAGATAATCTTTAGGTTAAATCTGCTTGGTGTTTTATAACCTTATACTTAGATATTGATATCTTTCTATACATTTGGGAAGTTCTCGTTGTCATCCCATTGAATAAACTTTCTACCCCTATCTCTTTCTCTACCTCCTCTTTAAGGCCAATAATTCTTAGATGTTCCCTTTTAGTTTATTTTCTAGACCCTGTAGGTATGCTATATTGTATTCTATTCTTTTTTCTTTTGTCTCTTCTGTGTATTTTCCAGTAGTGTGTCTTCAAGCTCACTAATTCCTTCTTCTGCTTGATCCATTCTGCTATTAAAAACTCTGCTGCATTCTTCTGTATGCCAATTACATTATTAAGCTCCAGAATTTCTTCCTGATTCTTTTTAATTATTTCAATCTATTTGTTAAATTTACCTGATACAATTCTGAATTCCTGCTCTGTGTTATCTCGAATTTCTTTGAATTTCCTCAACACAGCTATTTTGAATTCTCTATCTGAAAGGTCACATATCTCTGTTTCTCCAGGATTGGTCCCTGGTGTCTTGTTTAATTCATTTGGTGCAGTCATGTTTTCATGAATGGTGTTGATGCTCGTAGATGTTCTTCAGTGTCTGGTCATTGAAGGGTTATTTAATGTAGTCTTCACTGCCTGGGCTCATCTGTAGCTCTCCTTCTTAGAAAGGCTTACTGGATATTTGAAAAGACTTGGGAGTTGTGATCTAAGCTGTTTCTGTTTAGGGACACCCTTAGCCCTGTAACTCTGGTTCTTGCAGACTCATAGAAGTACCAACTTGATGGTCTTAGGCAAAATCCAGGAGAATTCTCTGCTTTTTCAGGCAGACGGTCTTGTTCTCTTTCTTACTTTTTCCCAAGCATACAGTCTCTCTCTCTTTTCTGAGCCACCTAAAGCTGAGGGTGGAGTGACAAGCACACCTGTGGCCACCACCACTATGACTGCATTGGGTCAGACCTGAAACCAGCACAACACTGCATCTCACCCAAGACCTGCCGTAACCAGTCCCTGGATACTGCCTATGTTTATTCAAGGCCCTGGGCCTCTACAATCAGTAGGTGGCAAAGCCAGCCAGGCCTATGTCCTTTCCTTCAGGGCGGCAAGGTCCCCTAAGACCCACGTGGGTCCAGAAGTGCCATCCAGGAGTCAGGGACTATGGTCAGAAACCTTAGAAATTTACCTGATATTCTATTTTATTGCGGCTGAGTTGGCACTCAAACATGATGTCCCCCTTTCCCTTTCCAAAGGCAAGGGTCCTCACTCCATAGCCACTGCCATCCTGTGCCACAAGAAATACTTCCAGACTACCGCCAATGTTCCCTTAAGGCCCAAGGTCTTTTAAGTCAGCTTGTCATGAATGGTGCCTGGCCTGTGACTTTTCCTTCAGGGCAGTGGGCTCCCCTTCGGCCCAGGGCAGGTCCAGAAATGCCATCATAGTTGACTCTAAAACTTGACTGTTTTAGAATTGGGACCCCAAGAGCTCACTTGGAACTCTACTCCCCATGGCAGAGACCCCTTCTTTCTGCTTGAGGACATAAGAGGGAAGACTGAGGAAGACTAATTTACGGCTAGCCACAGCAGTGGTCCGAGTAAGGAGGCCCCCATTTCAGGCCCTGGCTTCCAGAATACACTTCTAGATACAACCTAGGCCAGAAGGAAAATCACTGCCTTGAAGGAAAGGACCCAGTCCTGCCAGGATTAATCACCTGCTAACTGAAGAGCCCTTGGGCCCTGAATAACCAGCAGCCATACCCAGGTACTAAACAAAGGGTATTGGTGAGTCTCTGAGACTTGCTGGCGTCAAGTGAGACCCAGTATATAACCAGCTGTGGTGTCTATGGGGCAAAACATTTTCTGCTTGAGGAAAGCAGAGGGAAAAGTAAAGGGGTCTTTGCCTTGCACCTTAGGTACCAACACTGCCATGGGGCCTCTTTTGGAGTCTCAGGCTGTGCAGCCTGAGGTTAGAGGAGGGATGACATCAGCACTCTCTTGGTTGATGGGAATGAGGAGTTGCTGAAGTGGGCACTAGAGTCACAGGTAGCGACAATTCTCAGCACAGGTTTGAAGGTGGGATACCAAAATACAAGTTTGGATGTAGCACAGCAGTTATTGGTAAAAAACATAACAGAAGGAAGCTGAAATGGGATGCCAGGATATGTGTATATACATACACATACATACACATGCACACCTACACATATGCACATGATTATGCAATATTTTATGTATTATACATGTAACATAATATATGTGATATGAAATATTCTCCATATTTTAAAAATTCATCAAGAATTATGAAGTAATGAATATAAAGACAGTGACTGACCCAGGTGACCAAATTTTCCATTAATAAGAGTGAATGTCAGGGAGGTGGGTTGAGGAGCAGTAGCAGATAATGTCTCCCAGTGGCCTATACATCAAAATATATAAAGATTTTGAGAGAGGAAGGAAAAATAAGCAGGACATTTACTCCACTCTTAAGTTAAGTGATTAACATACATGAGAGGCTGCTGGGTAACCAGTGTGGTTAGTGGACAAGCATTAGATGGAACTCAGGGCAAGACTATCAAGAAAAGAGAGTAAAGATACAAAGGAATCCTTGAAGGGTTCATGAACATTCTAGAAAGCCACAAACCTCTATTCTCATTAGAAATGTCTCCTAGATCTTCCCTGGTTCTCACGTCTTCTAATAAGTGGCAAAATCTGCCATTTTCCTTTTAAAATATCTCTTGCCCAAGTATTTGCTTCCCTCCAAAAATAAAGTAATTCATTCCTTGATTATATTTCATCCAGATAGGAAAATTATCCCTTGTTTGGCCCTCCCCTTTTTGATCCAAAGCATACATTGCATCAAGATAATTTATCTCAAGTGTAAGCTCTGATTTTGTCACCTTTCTGATCAAACATTTTCACTGCCTCCTTGTTATTTCATAAGGAAATCCAAATCCCTTACTCAGCCTTTCAAAATTCTCTATCCTCAGTCATCTGAGAGGCAGCCAATCCTAGTGGTTAAAAGCCCAAATTCGAATGCTAGACTTCTGGGTTTGAATTCTGGCTCTGAGTCCCCAGGAAACTTACTTTCTGTATAGCTCAGATTTCTCCTCTAGAAAAGGGGTTAATCGTAATAATACTTACTTCATAGAGTTATTATGAGTATTAAGTGAAGAAAGAGTCACAACAATCCTTGGCGTATAAAAACACGCTATTTTTTTCCAGGACCCAATTTAACTTTTCAATTTTTTTTGGTTTCATCAGTCCCTTTCAAATATTTATCCACAATAAGGGATACTGCTTTTTTGTAGTTTGTGAAAACCTGTGTCATATGGTAACCCAATCAAATTTGGGTTGGAATTCAAACTAATACTGAGAAGCTACTCCCACGGAGAAATCTTTAAAGCTCCCTGCACTCCAATTTCCACATCTGTAATATCTATCTTACAAGGTTACCATGGATTTGAAAGGAAGGTATGCCAAGTGCACACCACAGTCTATGTCATATAGATACTCACTGAGTGGTGACTATTTTCAACATTGTTATACCCACAGAAGAGTCACACTTTCCAGCCTCTACTTTTTTGCCTATGCTACCATTGCAAAGAAGGGTTTCCCATCTTTGTTTCTCTAAACCTTGTCCATTATTTAGCTTGAACACCAATGCCTTCTCATTCCCTATCAAACGGTCTCAAATTTCTTCCCATAAGAGCAATATCTTCCTCTTCTAAATCCTATGACGTTTTATTTGTACTTCCCTTTTATACCTATTTTCTAAATTGTTTTAAATTCATGCTATCTCCCTTATTGGGCTGAAAGATTACGCAGGAATGATTTACACTAGTTCATCTTTTTACCATATATTTCCGTACGCATAATAAGCGCTCAATAATGTCTTCTTCAATGGATCATGGCTGAGTCATTCATTCTAAATGTAAGAAAAGGAATTTCCACAAAGTATCTCTCTTGGATGCTGCTCTTCAGTCTCAGTAGCTACAGACAAGTGGACATACATTGGAGACAGGATATAAATTGGGTTCAGATTTTGCTTTTTAAAGCAACATCTAACATTTTAGAAAATATAATGGGATTAAATACATGTAGTAAATTGCCTACTATTTGAAGTGATCAACATGCTAACTGATATGGCAATTTAGTAGTAGTTAGGGCATAATTCAAAAGCTGTGTAGGTTACACTACTTACCAGCTGTGTGACTAAAAGTAAGATACTTAAACTCACTCCCAATTTCCTCATTTGGACATGTGGATAATCATAAACATTACCTAATGAGGTTGATGTGGGAATTAAGTCAGAAAATGCTGTTCAGCTTTATTTTTATTATTATAGCCAAGGTTATTTCAACCAAAAGGTTGTAGTTTTTCATGTTACTGAGATATTATCATAGTATACCTGAATCACCATCATCTAAACACCAGGGAAGTATCAAAGCCATCTGGGCCGGGCACGGTGGCTCAAGCCTGTAATCCCAGCACTTTGGGAGGCCAAGGGGGGCGGATCACGAGGTCAGGAGATCGAGACCATCCTGGCTAACGTGGTGAAACCCTGTCTCTACTAAAAATACAAAAAAAAAAAAATTAGCGGGGCATGGTGGCGGGCGCCTGTAGTCCCAGCTACTTGGGAGGCTGAGGCAGGAGAATGGCGTGAACCCAGGAGGCTGAGCTTGCAGTGAGCTGAGATTGCGCCACTGCACTCCAGCCTGGGCAGCAGATTGAGACTCTTGTCAAAAAAAAAATAAAGAATCAAAGCCATCTGCTCAGCATATTTTTTATCATGGCTCAGTGGGTTAACTATACAATGTCATGTAAACATGTAACATGTTACCACAAAATGCTATTAGACAGTTTTAGGTCTTATTGCATATTTTGGGTGCTTCTTGAATGATATTTTTAATTTTGATACTGAGTACACGTAGGCATTAATATTGTTAAAATTTGAAATGTGCCTGTGTGTGTGTGTGTGCGTTTTGCAAGAAACAGCCTTAAACAGTATTATGATAGATCCAGGGAGCTGAGCTAGAGTATAGATTTATAGGTTCTGGCCACTATAACTGAAGTTATAGGGCCTGGGTCATACACACTAGGCCAAGAAAACAGATGGATTTATGAAATTTCAGTAACAACCTCCTTCAAAAGCATTTCTCCTTGGCTTTCTCCTTGGGACAATTCAATGATTAAGAACATTTCTGCTAAGAGCCGTCTGGTGCTGACTTCTTTTTTTTTTTTTTTTTTTTTTTTTGGTCTGCCTCCTAAGTGCTTACCAGGGCCACAAAGCAAAGGAAGTACTAATTCCTCTTTGGCTGTCTCCACTGTAGCAATAGAGTCAGTTTAATTTTCTGTATTTACCAGTACAGCACAGAGGCAGCTCAGAAAACATAGTATAATTAGAGGGAGGCTTATCACATGTCTCAGTATTCCTGTAGTTCAAAAATTGAGTTTATTTTTTTTCCTTTGCATTTCTAAAGTGATTTTATTTTATTCTAACTGGAGATCTGTTTATTCCATGCTCACTCATTTATTACTTGTACCTTAACAAGGCAACACTGGGTGCATCTCCTGGTCCTCCATGACTGGGGAGCACTGAAGCTGTTTGAAAATCAGTTCATATATAGGTGTAAGAGGTCTATATTGGTCCATTTTCATGCTGCTAATAAAGACACAACAAAGACTGCGCAATTATAAGGAAAGATGTTTAATGGACTCACAGTTCCACATGGATGGGGAGGCCTCACAATCATGGTGGAAGATGAAGGAAGAGCAAAGTGACGTCTCACATGGCAGCAGGCATAAAAGGCATGTGCAGGGTAACCCCCTTTATAAAATCATCAGATCTCATTCACTATCACAAAGACAGCATGGGAAAAACCTGCCTTCATGATTCAATTATTTCCCACCGGATGTCTTCCACGACACGTGGGGGTTATTACAATTCAAGGTGAGATTCGGGTGAGGACACAGAGCCAAACCATACATATCAAGGGCTAAGGATACAGGAAACAGAGATGTGTTTATATTACTTTGAGCCAGTAATTTCTCCTCTTTGTACTTCAGAATTTCATCTGTAACAATAGAAAAGAAATCACAATATTTGTACAAAACCCCAACACATGATTCTCCAGATGGCAAAACACTAGTGAAAGCCAGTTAACATCTAAGTATGCTGGAAAATATAAGAGGAAAATAGGGTGAGAAAGAAAGCAGAGAAAGAAGGAAAAAGATACAAATGAAAAGTGCCTTTAAAAATTACAAAGCCACTGAGAAATTTTGAGGCAGGAAAGAGAAACTTGTTTTGATGTTGTTTGGTTATCATCAGTATCTATGTAATAATCACTCCCACCTCCAACTGGTTGATTTCACTGAGTAATTGAAATCTGAACAAATTGCTGGTATTAGTTGTCTGCCTTGTCCTCCTAGAGTGTAATCTCCAGTGTAATCCCCATGAGGTTAGGAATATTGTTGACCATGTTCCTTGCTTCACCCTTAGTACCACAAGGAGTTCTGGACACAGAATTGATGTCTCCTCAGCATCGGATGAATCTGCAGACAGAATGCACTTGGCTCTCCAGAATTCCAGCTGGGAAAAAGGTCCTGAATGATTCATTGTTATCAATTAAATTTACTATAGCACTTGTTGCTTTTATTTTTTCTTTTCTATATTCATAAAAGATATTATTTATAATCTTAGTATGAACAGAGCCGGATTTAATTTCACAACGTATATGGAATGATTCCATATATTTGCAAAGAACGTATCATGTTTCTAAAAGCTATAATTTTTCCCTTTTGTCTTCCCTATCACTCTATCTTCCCATCTTAAATCCATTCGGTTTCTGAGTTTATTAAGCTTTTAGGATAATTGTACTTCTTCTTTTTTTAAAAAAAATAAAATAAAACTTTTTAGAGACAGAATCTCGCTCTGTCACCCAGGATGGAGTGCAGTGGCACTATCATAGCTTACTGCAGCCTCAAATGTCTGGACTCAAGTGATCCTCCTGCCTCAGCCCCCTGAGTAGCTGGGGCTACAGGAATGCACCACCATGCATGGCTAATTTTTATTTTATTTTATTTTTTTAGAAACAAGGTCTTGCTATATTTCCCAGGCTGGTCTTGAACTTCTGGCCTCAAGTGATCGTCCTACCTCAGCCTCCCAAAGTGCTGGGATTACAGTTGTGAGCCATTACACCCAGCCAGCTAATTTTAATTTTATACAGACTTTCAATAACTCTGTCTTCACTTCTGCATTAGATGAATTGGGAGTTTTATAGTTAAAACCTGGGAAAAAATTGATAATTAATAAGGCTGTGTACAAAAGTACTGACTAAATTTATGATTTATTTTACCAAATATATTTGTATACTTGTATATCTATATGTGTGTGTATATCTGTATTTTATGTCATATAAAATGTTATCTTGCATAATTATATGCAAGATAGCCTCAGACCTGTAAACATATACAGGTAGAAAAGAAATGAGAAGCTTTTATGGACTGATTAATGCAAATATATGGAATGCCAGGAAAATAGTAGTGACTGATAGCAGTTACAGTAGCCTTCAATGGTAGCTGGATATTTCAATGAAGCAATAAAATGTGCATAAAAATAAGCCTCATGTAGCAATTTTTTCTGGTTCCTCTTCAACACTGCAGATTAGATTCAAATGATGTGGCTAAGCAGATATGTTATTAAAAGTATCATCCCCTTGATACATAGAGAATATGTGACCTCTACTATTTGCATGAGTGGAATAAAGATGTCCGCAAATTGACATATTTATTCACAAACAACTGCAGCATTAGTAGTATTCATAAATCACCATTTCCCAGTGGTGTGACATAAGGTATATTAGTGCTTACAGATTCTCAGTGAGAAATGAGTTCACAGTCAAACATAATATTCCCTTTTTGAGAGTTACGATTTAAATCAGCACAATAAAAGTATTTTCCAGAGCAATACATTTCTTCATTTAAAGGCATAGGCTCGGGCCAGGCACGGCGGCTCATGCCTGTAATCCCAGCACTTTGCGAGGCCGAGGCGGGTGGATCACGAGGTCAAGAGATCCAGACCATCCTGGGTAACATGGTGAAACCCCGTCTCTACTAAAAATACAAAAATTAGCCAGGTGTGGTGGCGGGCGCCTGTAGTCCCAGCTACTCGGGAGGCTGAGGCAGGAGAATCACTTGAATCCGGGAGGAGGAGGTTGCAGTGAGCCAAGATTGCGCCACTGCACTCCACTCCAGCCTGGCAACAGAGCAAGACTCCGTCCAAAAAAAAAAAAAAAAAAAAAGGACATAGGCTCTGGAGTCACATTTTCTGTCTGAATTCAAATTCTGCCACATATTAGCTATGCTAATACTCAATAACTAATGCTAATACTCAAATAACTTTGAGTAAGTTATTTGTCCTTTTCATATTTCAGATTCTACACCACAGCAAAAGAAATAATAACAATACTTCTTTCTTGTATTCAATGGAGGGAAGTATGTGTTAGCACATGTAAAAGACTAGAATAGCAATAAGCAAATAGTATGTATACAATAACAAATTAATATTATTTTCATTAGAAATATAATAATTGTTAAAATCTGTGATAAATTATGATAAAACCTATTTAGCTTTGTTTGACCCAACATTTCATTAATTCCCCAAATTATTTTGTGTAACTACTATTGAAATCCCATAGTTTCTATTTAAATCACAAAAGTGAATTTCTGCTTTTTGGGTGCATTTTGAGAAACACTTAGGTAGAGTATAAAACTAAACCATTTCTCCAACTCTATCAATAATATGGTTGGAAGAAAAATAAATATTTTACATTTCTTTTAAATGGAGTGGAATAGAGTTTCACAAAGCATTTATCTGAGTCAGCCTTATAATTTTCAAAAATGCTACCCACATGATTTGAGGCTACAAATAACAAATTTTAAAACTAATTATGTACACCACGGAATACTATGCAGCCATAAAAAGGAAGGAGATCATGTCCTTTGCAGGGACATGGATGAAGCTGGAAGCCATCATCCTCAGCAAACTAACACAAGAACAGAAAACCAAACACCACATGTCCTCACTCGTAAGTGGAAGTTGAACATTGAGAACACATGGACGCAGAGAGGCAACACCACACACCAGGGTCTGTTGGGGGGTGAGGGGTGAGGGGAGGGAACTTAGAGGATGGGTCAATAGGTGCAGCAAACCACCATGGCACACGTATACCTATGTAACAAATCTGCATGTTCTGCGCATGTATCTGTTTTGGATTTTTTGAGAAGAAATAAAGAAAAAAAAGAAAATACTCTAAAAAAAAAACTAATTACATTTCACAAATGGTGGGGAAGTTTGTTTAAATGTAAAAAAACAAATAAGGCCACCCTGATATTCAAAACTAGGTAAGATATTCACTCAGCATAATCGAGTCAACATCCTAGTGCCTGTAACATGTTCAACCTGCCCAGAGGTGTCATTGGCTTCTCAAGAGAAACACCATATGCAGCTGTATGAATTAAGGGAGGAGCATATGAACATCATTGACCCAAAGATTTCGAGCCACGTCGGCTCTCAGACAAATATTAATTGCATCCAAGAAGATAAATAGTTGTTCAACTAAAGGTAAACAATTTCTGGGAGGTGTACATATGTTTAACATGTTATCTCTACAAGCTGAGATGACATAATAGTTATCTACACTTCCCTCACCCATACAACACTCATGCAACATCTAACATAATTCATGCTAACCAAGAAGCTTTCAGATGAATCCGTGGATTTTAAGTTATGTGATGTAGTA
Source organism: Homo sapiens (assembly GCF_000001405.40). NCBI lineage: Eukaryota > Metazoa > Chordata > Mammalia > Primates > Hominidae > Homo > Homo sapiens. Next base: position 123,153,668 of record NC_000006.12, on the reverse strand, counting down.
AGAACTCTCATACTAATTAAATATTAAATTTAATATAATAAAAATTAATATCTTGAGCTACCCATGTATTTCTCCTTGGTCATTATATTTAATGGAGACAAAACAAAACTAACACATACATACTCAACACACACACTCACAAACACACACACACGCAGACACACACACCCTACATGTACTTTGAAACCCTAAAGAGACAAAGACCTATTTCCCTGGATACAAGGCAAACTGATTTTGAACATTTAAAATGTTATTCTGGTCAAAATGACTTTTCCTACAGAATCTGACAGCTTTTCATTTTTTGACTTCCAGGTTGTCAACCTATGATAATATTTAAACCTAATTTAAATAATCCTGAAATCAAATTTTGTAGGAAAATAATGCTCATTCTTTTACACTTGTTCTTACAGCTTCTCACTGGAGACTGTATTTGCTTATAATAAGGTACAATTCAAACATCTACTAGTTTCTCCATCCAAAGTTTTCCTTTGGGGAAAAAGACTGCTTAACATCTGCTATGACTGCATCTCTAAACTCTACTGGTTGGCATCTAATGTAAATATGGTGCCTTTTTTTTTTGAGACAGAGTCTGGCACTGTTGCCCAGGCTGGAGTGCAGTGGTGCAATCTCGGCTCACTGCAACCTCTGCCTCCCGGGTCAAGCGATTCTCTAGCCTCAGCATCCCAGGTAGCTGGGATTATAGGCACATGCCACCAGGCCCAGCTAATTTTTGTATTTTTTACCAGAGACGGGGTTTCGCCATGTTGACCAGGCTGGTCTCAAACTCCTGACCTCAGATGATCTGCCCACCTCGGCCTCCCAGAGTGCTGGAATTACAGGCGTGAGTCACTGCGCCCAGCCTATACATGGTATTGAAAAGGGGAAAACATCTATTCTGCTGTAAAAATCATTGCAAAATTAGAGGAATTTTATTTAGTTGTGATTCTAAAGTTTCTTACAATCTTTGAAGAAGGTACATTAAAAATGATGACTTTGGTAACATATTTTTTTGTACAACTAGTTAGCTTTTGTTCTGATTGATCTTAGAAATGCAAAAAGCATACCCTGATGATAAAGAAGACCAAAGCAATCATGAAATAAGACAGAGATTTCTCAAAAAAAACCTTCCCTAGAAACAGACAGTTTCCAGAATAAATCACACAATGCATTCCCCCATCCATACTCATGACACATTCACATTTATACAATAAAATCTAGTATATAAACTGCAAAGGAAGAGAAAAAGAAATGGTAAAAGAATCGATAAATGTGTGTAAAAACAAGGAAAACCAGTTTTTAGGGTAAAAGGGCACAGAAAATTATTGCAGTGTAAGAAATTCATATATTGTTATCACTAACAACTAAAGCCATTTCTTCCTTCCATGCTGCCTGGCTCAGGTAATAGAACCTACAGAAAATTACTTCAGCTTTCTCTGCTATGCAGATGTTTAAAAGAAATTCCTTCAGAACTTTGAATGTAATAGCATTCTTGGAAAATGGTTAAGCTTCTACGTTTGAGGATCTGAATATCTGGAATTGAATCATGACTGCCATGTACTAACTGTACGGCCATGGGTAAGATACTTAACATGCCTTCCTCATGTATAAAGTAGGGATAATGGTAGTTCTTCCATGAAGAATTTATGAGGATGAAATCTTACTTATTAGGTTTTCTTTTTGTTTGTTTTTTTAGATGTAGCCAGGCTGAAGTGCAGTGGCACGATCTCTGCTCACTGCAACCTCCACCTCCCGGGTTCAAGCAATTCTGCCTCAGCCTCCCGAGTACCTGGGATTAAAGGTGCACGCCACCACACGCAGCTAATTTTTGTATTTTAAGTAGAGATGGGGTTTCACCATGTTGGCCAGGATGGTCTCGATATCTTGACCTCATGATCCGCCCACCTCAGCCTCCCAAAGTGCTGGGATTACAGGCGTGAGCCACCATGCCTGGACTTATCTATTAGTTTTAATGTGATTGTTATTATTGCTGATAACACAAGAACAGGATATAAGATCAAAAATAAAGATTTTTATTTTCAGTACTGTTTTACAAATTACATTGAGTAAAACTAGGTAGTTTACATTCTACATAAAGATTGTGAGTCTTCCAATTTTTGAGAAGAAAAAAGAAAAATCAGTTCTAAAATATATTAGTAACCATCAATCAGTGCTTTTTGATTGAGAAAAATTCCAGGGCTTGTTACACAGTAAACAATTAGTAAATGGTCTTTGAACAATGAGAGAATAGCTCCAAGTTTTACTCAAGGCACTTGTTTCTGACTCATTCTTTGTTGTGGCACATAAATTCCTTTGAGATAAGAAAACCAGCTCTCATCATCTTCAATTTACAGGTGTAAAAGCAAGTTTCAGAAAATGCCATAATACATTTTCAAGTTCCCAAAGATTGTATTTGTTGGAGCTACAATATAAATTGGTTTTAATTTTATAACAAAGCCAATCTTTGACTAGGCACCACTGTCTTCCTCCATACAGAATAATCCAGTGGTCATTAGTAATTTCTAATTTATTTGTTGCAGAAATTAGTAAACACACACACTCACACACACACTAGTTTTGTCATTAATTTCTTCACAAACTACAAAAATATAAAGGTGTTTGACACAATTTTGTAAAATTGTAAATGAGATAAAAATGCTAGCTTTCAAAGGCTAGCTAATAATAAAGGCTAGCTTTCAGTTTGTACATTTAGATACTGGTCTAGAACCCAACATTCAATTCACACATGTGTTAGAGCTATGAGAAAAGTAGAAATATATTGTATCACAGATAACAATTTTAAATATATTAATATCATTGTTATTTTATTATCTTATATTTCATATATATCATCTCATTAGATCAGGTGAGCTAGGGAAATTATTAGCATTGTATAGATGACCACACTGAGGATCAAACTACGTTTGTCACTTGCCTAAGGACAAAAATCTGGTAAGGCAAGAAAACTGAGTTTGAACCCGTGTCTTCCAGGGCTGAGTCCTCTGCTTGTGGATATATCAAAGTGATTTTGCTGCAAAGAGAAGCTTGCTCTTTGTTGCCTATCTGATCTAGTCATGTCACAGTAGAGACTAACTCAATTATTTTGTCTCCAAGGTGGTCTGCTGTCACCTCTGTTAAAAAGCCTTCATATTAAAAGCATGGACTCCCCAATTTAACACATCCTTCCCACAGCAAGCTTAGTCACCTTTTCCAGAGGAATTTCCTTTTCTAAACACTGTTGTTTTCTCTTCTATTCTTGCAACAATTGATCAAAGACTAAGCACTCTCTTTAAATAAATGTATTTAATGCTCTTGGCATATTCCTCAGTCCCCATGATAGTGCCAAGTAGTGAGATTTATGGTGACATTTAGCAGGTTCTGTTTGCATAAAGGTCCATTCAAAATTGCATCTGAGCTGCAAATAGCTCAGCAGAGAATGACCAAGCAGAGAAGGCTCTAAAAATGACCAGTGAGTGTAAATGACTCCCAGGCTTCTAGAAAATCTATTGAGGAAGGTTATTTTCTAAAATTGCCCAAGCAACCTAAACCTCCAGAAATAAAACTAAGAATTAATCCACATAAGAGTTCTCAACTATAGAATCAGAGAAAATAATAACCATATAAGTATGTTTTGTCATAATAGCAATACAAAATAAATATGACTAGATATGACTTAGAGATGACCAAATATGACTTAGATTGTTTTTTCCTCAGGGTGTTTAGGCCATTGTTATTAAAATGCAGCCATTAAGAACTACAGAGTGATGGTACATAGTGAATACAAGGTACTTGCTGGCTTTAGATCCCGAATCTGTGTTGTTAGCCGTAGGACAATGGGCAAGTAACTTGATTACTATAGATGTAATTTTCCTCAAGGGTAAGTTACCATTATCACTTCCCTTATCTTGATGTAATGAGGACTATAGAAACTAATACAAATGAATCAATCAAGGCAGGGACTGGTACCTATTCTATAAATACATTATATAATATAAATATCACAACATATCTCAGAAAATATATACTAATAACAAAAATGTCATTATATTCATATATTTATTTTATAGAAGTGTTTCAAAATATTTTTATAAACTTTCAAAGGTCTTTACCATCAAAATACAAATGTCCATATCTACTAATATCAGTTACAATTTTTTTGAATACTCCTCAATTTAATCTGAACTTAGTTTTATTTGGTATAGCTTAAATAACTTAGGCTATTTTTTTAAAAGTTAGGGTTACAATAAAAATGGAGTTTTTAATCTCTACTTTTCATTTTCCTTTTGCTTTCCATTGGCAACAAAGATAATAACAGTTTAAAATCCTTTACTCTGACTTCTGCTCTCAAGCTATATCAAGAATTCATTCTGGAATTTGATCAGAATCTTTCAAATAATATGAAGCCTTTCCTAATCCTCTCAGGAACATTAATTTTCTTTCCCCTTAATCCTCATAACTCTTTATGCATTTAGCTTTCAACATACGCCAACAAAATTTGTTTAAATATGCCCCTTTCCCGTGGACTGTGTATGTTAAAGGCATAAAAATATGTTTTATTCAGTTTGTATCTGTGGACCTGAGTGCAATGCTTAACACAATGCATGGAACTTTTCTCAAGTTCCATTTGGATAAACTAATCCAACCAATGAATAAGTGATTGACTGAACACCATTCTTCTGGACATGATGTAGATACACATGTTGAAAGATTGCTTAAGTATGCGAAAGCACAACTGCATTCAAAGTGTTGATTAATAGAGTGATGTCAACCTGAATGAAGGATGTAGTGTGTGTAACAATCTCTCTATTTGATTCTGTTCTTTCAATATTTCTTAACTCTGAACTTGATGAATTAAGAATGGGTTGCCTTTAAAGCAAAGGCTGATTACAACACAAAGCTGGGACATAATCAAACATGGTACCAAAATATATATCAAAAGTATTACATTAAAAAGAGCAAATAATAAAACTATGTGACCTAGTAAGCCAATTACATACATATATGAGTATTAAAACATGGAAAGATGTACAAACAGGCAATGAGAGTTTTATCACTGTGATCTGAGGAGAAAAGTATTTTAATATTTTACTATATCTGTATATCACACATATTTTCTACTGCACAAGTATTATGTATGTAATCAGAAATACACTTTTAAAAAAATAAGCAATGGTAAATAAAGTATCTCACTAAGATGAAATAATGAATTAAAACAAGTGAGATTAATATTATTGAAAATAAAGACAAACCCCTGCATTTATGTGCATTATGGGATTTTTGGCTTAGAAAAGCATATAAAAAAGATTTGGATACAAGCGTAGTGTGAGTCAATGGTGGCTGTAACAACAGTGCTAAAAGAGTGCCCGAAGCTGCAGGCATATCTCCAGAAGCATAACATTCAGTGGAGGAAAACTACAAGGGCTGCTGATCTTTCCTCTTTACGCTACCTGGAGAGGAATTACTGGTTTCAGTTCCAGTATATTTTGAAAGGGATATTAACAAACTGGAATGCATCCAGTTAGGTTACAGAAAGACTGAGTGGTCTAGAAACCAAGACTGAGTGGGAAAGACAGGGGAAGAAGAAGAGACATAACAAGAATGACCTCATGTTAGCATAATGTTTGTTTCCAAATATCTAAGTATGTCATCATGCTAATGAGAACCTAGAAATAATAAGTGGATTTAATAATACTGTGATTCTCTTTGTTTTGGCCTAGCACACCTGAGTAATATGACACACTGCCATCAGTAATTGAGACCTGCTGTAGAGATTATCACCTGGAGGATTAATTTAGGATCTCCAATTTGGGGAGTGATTGAGGTAGGGCTAAGTATTTACAGAGTTTGAAAACTACAACTAGATTATATATTGACACACTGCCATGGCGATTACAATGGTGGTGGAATTTCCATCTCCACTTCACTCATTAAAATTATCTCTTTTAACTGCTTAACCTGTACCAAAAAATCTGTTAAACAGTTTTTTTTTTAAATTATTATTTCCCCATACGAAAAATACAAAAATTAGCTGGGCGTAGTGGTGCATGCTTGTAGTCCCAGCTACTCGGGAGGCTGAGTCAGGAGAATCACTTGAACCCAGGAGGCAGAGGTTGCAGTGAGCCGAGATTGCACCATTGCACTCCAGCCTGGGTGGCAGAACCAGACTCCATCTCAAAATAATAATAATAATAATAATAATAATAATAATTTCAATAGTTTTGGGGGAACAGGTAGTGTGTTCGGGTACATGGATAAGGTCTTCAGTGGTGATTTCTGAGATTTCACTCGAGCAGTGTACACTGCACCCAATGTGTAGTCTTTTATCCCTCACCTCCCTCCCAACCTTCCCCCCAAGGCCCCAGAGTATATTATATCATTCTTATGCCTTTGTATCCACTTGGTTGATGGTCATTTAGGCTGGTTCTATATCTTTGCAATTGTGAATTGTGCTGCTTTAAACATGTATGTATAAGTGTCTTTTTCATATAATGACTTCTTTTCTTCTGGGTAGATACCCAGTAGGGGGATTGCTGGATCAAATGGTAATTTTCTTTTTAGTTTTTTAAAGAATATCTATACTGTTTTCACAGTGGTCGTACTAGTAGTTACATTCCCACCAGCAGTGTAGAAGTGTTCCCTTTCACTGCATCCATTCCAACATCTATTATTTTTTGATTTTTTTGATTATGGCCATCCTTGCAGGAGTAAGGTGGTATCGCATTATGGTTTTGATTTGCATTTCACTGATTAGTGATGTTGAGCATTTTTTCATATGTTTGTTGGCCACTTATGTCTCTTCTGAGAATTGATGGGATTATTTGGTTTTTCTCTTGCTGATTTGTTGGATTTCCTTGTAGATTCCGGATATTAGTCCTTTGTTGTATGCATACTTTATGAAGATTTTCTCTCATTCTTTGGGTTTTCTGTTTATTCTGCTGATTATTTCTTCTGCTGTGCAGAAGCTTTTTAGTTTAATTAAGTCCCATCTATTTATGATTGGTTTTGTTGCATTTGCTTTTGAGTTCTTGGTCAAGAAGTTTTTGCCTAAGCCAATGTCTGGAAGGGTTTTTCCAATGGTATCTTCTAGAATTTTTATGGTTTCAGGTCTTAGATTTAATTCTGATCCATCTTGAGTTGATATTTGTATAAGGCGAGAGATAAGGATCCAGTTTCATTCTTCTACATGTGGCTTGCCAAGTATCCCAGCACCAATTTGTTGAATAGGGTGTCCTTTTCTCCACTTTATGTTTTTGTTGGCTTTGTCAAAGATCAGTTGGCTGTAAGTATTTGGGTTTATTTTTGGGTTCTCTAGTCTGTTCCATTGGTCTACATGCCTGTACACCAGTATCAGGCTGTTAGGTAACTATATCCTTGCCTGGTAATGTGATGCCTCCAGATTTGGTCTTTTTTTCTTAGTCTTGCTTTGGCTATGTTGGCTCTTTTTTGGTTTCATATGAATTTTAGGATTGCTTTTTCTTGTTCTGTGAAGAATGATGATGGTATTTTGATGGGAATTAGATTAAATTTATAGATTGCTTTTGGCAGTGTGGTCATTTTCACAATATTGATTCTACCCATCCATGAGCATGGGATGTATTTCCATTTGTTTGTGTCTTCTATGATTGCTTTCAGCAGTGTTTTGTAGTTTTCCTGTAGAGCTCTGTCACCTCCTTGGTTAGGTATATTGCTGAGTTTTATTTATTTATTTATTTGTTTTGCAGGTGTTGTAGAAGAGGTTGAGTTCTTGATTTGATTCTCAGCTTGGTCTCTGTTGGTGTGTAGCAGTGCTACTGATTAGTGTACATTGATTTTTGTATCCTGAAATTTTACTGAATTCATTTATCAGATCTGGGAAATTTTTGGATGTGTCTTTACGGTTTTGTATGTACACAATCATATCATCAGTGAACAGTGAGTTTGACTTCCTCTTTACTGATTTGGATGCCCTTTATTTTTTCTGTCTGATTGCTCTGGCTAGGATTTCCAGTACTGTGTTGAAAAGACGTGGTGTCAGGGGGCATTCCTGTTTCATTCCAGTTCTCAGGGAGAATGCTTTCAACTTTTTCCCATTCAATATAATGTTGGCTGTGGGTTTATCATAGATGACTTTTATTATCTTAAGATTTTTTCCTTCTATGTCAATTTCGTGGAAGATTTTAATCATACAGGGATGCTGCATTTTGTCAAGTGCTTTTTATACATCTACTGAGATGATCATGTGATTTTTGCTTTAAATTCTGTTTATGTGGTGTATCATATTTATTGGCTTGCACATGTTTAACCAACCCTGCATCCCTGGTATGCAACCCACTTGATCATGGTGTATTGTCTTTGGATATGCTATTGGATCCATTAGCTAGTATTTTCTTGAGGATTTTTGCATCTATGTTCGTCAGTGATATTGGTCTGTAATTGTCTGTTTTGGGTATTAGGGTAATACTGACTTCATAGAATGATTTAGGGAGGATTCCCTCTTTATCTTGTGGAATGGTTTCAGTAGGATTGGTAACAATTTTTCTTTGAATGTCTGATGGAATTTAGCTGTGAATCCATCTGGTCCTGGAGTTTTTCTTGTTAGCAATTTTTGTTATTGCTGTTTTAATCTTGCTACTTGTTATTGGACCGTTCAGAGTTTTTATTTTTTCCTGGTTTAATCTAGGAGGGTTATATATTTCCAGGAATTTTTCCATCTCCCCTAGGTTTTCTAGTTTGTGTGCATAAAGGTGTTTATAGTAGCCTTGAATGATCTTTTGTATTTCTGTGGTATCAGTAGTAATATCTTCTGCTTTGTTTCTAATTGAGGTTATTTAGATCTTATCTCTTCTTTTCTTGGTTAATTTAACTAATGGTCTATTGATTGTGTCTTTCTTTTCAAATAACCAGCTTTTTGTTTTATCTTTGTTTTCTTTCAATTTCATTTAGTTATGCTCTGATCTTTGTTATTTCTTTTCTTCTGCTGGGTTTGGTTTGGTTTGTTCTTGTTTCTCTAGTTCCTTGAGGTGTAGTCTTGATTGTCCATTTGTGCTCTTTCAGACTTTTCGATGTAGGAATTTAATGCTGTAAACTTTCCTCTTATCATTGCTTTTGCTGTATCCCAGAGGTTTTGATAGATTATGCCACTATTATCATTCAGTTCAAATAATTTTTAAATTTCCATCTTGATTTAACTGTTGACCCAAAGATCATTCTGGAGCAGATTATTTAATTTCCATGTATTTGTATAGTTTTGAGTATTCCTTTTGGAGTTAATTTCCAATTTTATTCCACTATACTCTGAAAGAGTACAAAAAATAATTTTGATTTTCTTAAATTTATTGAGACTTGTTTTTGTGGCCTATCATATGGTCTGTCTTGGAGAATGTTCCATGTGCTGATGAATAGAATGTATATTGTGCAGTTGTTGAGTAAAATTTTCTGTAAATATCTGTTAAGTCCATTTGTTCTAGGGTATAATTAAAGTCCATTGTTTCTTTGTTGACTTTTTGTCTTGATGACCTGGCAAGTGCTGTCAGTGGAGTACCGAAAACCCCCCTATTATCGTTTTGCTATCTCATTTCTTAGGCCTAGTAGTAATTGTTTTATAAATTTGGGAGCTTCAGTATTAGGTGCATATATATTTAAGATTGTAATATTTTCCTGTTGGACTGATCCTTTTATCACTATATAATGTCCCTCTTTGTCTTTTTTTTAACAGTTGTTGCTTTAAAGTCTGTTTTGTCTGATATACGAATAGCTATTCCTGCTCACTTTGATATTCATTTGCATGGAATGTCTTTTTCCACCCCTTTACCTTAAGTTTATGTGAGTCAATATGTGTTAGGTGAGTCTCTTGAAGACAGCAGATACTTGGTTGGTAAATTTTTACTTACTATGCCATTCTGTATATTTTAAGCAGAGCATTTGGGCCACTTACATTGAATGTTAGTATTAAGATGTGAATACTGTTCTATTCATTGTGCTATTTGTTGCCTGAATGCCTTGCTTCTTTTTTCATTTTGTTACTGTTTTATAGGTCCTTGAGATTTATGCTTTAAGGAGGTTCTATTTTCATGTAGTTCAAGGTTTTGTTTCAGGATTTAGAACTCCTTTTAGCATTTCTTATAGTGCTGGCTTTGTGGTAGCAAATTCTGTCAGCATTTGTTTGTCTGAAAAAGACTTTATCTCTCTTTCATTTAGGAAGCTTAGTTTCACTCGATACAAAATTCTTGGCTGATAATTATTTTGTTTAAGGAGGCTAAAGATAGGACCCCAATCCCTTTTGGCTTGCAGGGTTTCTGCTGAGAAGTCTGCTATTAATCTGATAGGTTTTCCTTTTTAGGTTACCTTATGCTTTTGCTTCACAGCTCTTAAGATTATTTCCTTCATCTTGACTTTAGATAATCTGATGACTATATGCCTTATCTTTTTAGGATAAGTTTCCAGATGATGCTTGAGCTTCTTGTATTTGGATGTCAGATATCGATCAAGAAAAGGGAAATTTTTCTCAATTATTCCCTCAAATAAGCTTTTCAAAATTTTTAGATTTCTCTTCTTCCTCAGGAACACCAATTATTCTTATGTTTGGTCATCTAACATAATCCCAAATTTTGTAGAGGCCTTGTTTACGTTTAAAATTTTTTTCTTTGTCTTTGTTGGATTGGGTTAATTCAAAAGCCTTGTCTTTGAGCTGTGAAGTTCTTTCTTCTACTTGTTTGATTCTATTGTTGAAACTTTCCAGTGTGTTTTGCATTTCTCTAAGTGTGTCTTTCATTTCCAGAATTTGTGATTGTCTTTTCTTTATGCTATCTATTTCTCTAGAGACTTTTTCATCCACATTTTTATAGTCTTTTAAATTTCTTTAAGTTTGTTTTCACCTTCCTCTGGTGCCTCCTTTAGTAGTTTAATAATTAATCTTCTGAATTATTTTTCTGGCAATTCAGAGATTTCTTCTTTTTTGGATCCATTGCTGGAGAGCTAGTGTGATCTTTTGGGGGTGTTATAGGGCCTTGTTTTGTCATATTACCAGAATTACTTTTTCTGGTTCCTTCTCATTTGTGTAGACTGTTTCAGTGGAAAGATCTGGAACTAAAGGGCTACTGTTCAGATTGTTTTGTCCCATGGGGTGATCCCTTGATGTAGTGCCCTCCCCCTTCCTCTAAAGTTGGTGCTTCCTGAGAATCAGATGCAGTGATTGTTATTGCTCTCCTGGGTCTAGCCACCTAGCATGGCTACCAGGTTCCAGGCTGGCTGGGGAATGTCTGCAAAGGGTCCTGTGATATAATCCATATTCAGGTCTCCCAGTCATGAATACCAGCACCTGCTTTGGTGAATGTGGCAGAGGAGTGAAGTGGACTCTGTGGGAGTCCTTGATTGTAGTTTTGTTTAGTGCACAGGTTTTCTTGGATGCTGGTTATGTTAACAGTGAAGTTGTCACATGGATGGACTCAGGACCTCTGGTAAGCCAGGGTGCTGCAAGCAGTGGAATTAGCCATTATTTTCTCTTTTTTGGAGGAGGGTTGTTCTGTTATGAGTTGCTGTAATGACTGGAGTTTGTTAGCCTTCAGTGAGGAGGTGGTGCTTTCAAGACAGTGCCAGCTACAATAGTATTATAAAGGGGGGGTGATATAATCTTGCCCTCTGTTGACTGGGATGAGTACTCGGCTTTCTCAGGCAATGGACGGAGCCATAGAGCTCCCAAGAGCTTTTGTCTTTTGCTTTGGAGTTTTTCAGCTGTCTCATGGTGTTTGCAGCAACAAGCCACTTCTTTCAAAGGGCCTGTGATTTCTTTTGGTTCTCCTGGTATGTTCCTGTGGTGGTTATTGGAGCAAAAGTTCACACTGTGAGTCTCCAGACACGGTTCTATCCATCCAAGCAGGAGCTGCACATTAGTCACTTCTCCTAGCCACCATTTTTCCTCTGCTAAATAGTTTATATACACGACCTTATTCAGTTCTGATAAGACCCTAAAATGTAGGTATTGTTTGACTCACCTTAAAGATGATGGCACTGAAGCTTCGAACAGAGATTCAGTATCATACAGTCAATAAATTCCAGAATTAGAATGAAAACTTGGATCTGTCTGAATAGAAACTTGTATTTATAAACCTTACACTATGGGTGTAATTTGGCTGAGTGTCATAGATTTCTTAACCTCAAATCAGGCATAAATTAGATAAAGATTCTTTAAAGTAATTGCAGGAAGAATTCAAAATAAAGGATTATTTAAAGTAATTGTAGGAAGAATTCAACATAAAATAAATACATGTTGTACCATGTCACTCCAAGTGAGAAACAGATTAATACTATTTCAGTTAGGATGTCTTTAACTGGAAGTAATGGAACATCTGCCTAAAAAAATGTTTTTACAAATAACAACATCTACTTTTTTGATTTCTCATATAAAATCATTTAGGATTTGTCTTTCTGTGTCTGGCTTATTTCACTTAGCATAATATCCTCTAGATTTATCCACATTGTTGCAAATGACAAAACATCCATCTTTTTAAAGGCCGAATAGTATTCCATTATAGAGAGTAAGATGGTAGTTACCGGAGGCTGGGAGTAGGGTAGACGGGGAAAGGGGAGATGTTAGTCAAAGTGTACAAAGCTTCAGTTAGACAGAAGTAAAAAGTTCTTTTTTTAACTTTTTGAAAATAGTTAACAATAATGTGGCCAGGCATGGTAGCTCATGCCTGTAATTCCAGCACTTTGGGAGGCCAAGGTGGGTGGATCATGAGGTCAGGAGATCGAGACCATCCTGGCTAACACGGTGAAATTCCGTCTCTTCTAAAAAATACAAAAAATTAGCCAGGCGTGGTGGCGTGCATCTGTAGTCCCAGCTACTCAGGAGGCTGAGGCAGGAGAATCACTCGAACCCAGGAGGCAGAGGTTGCAGTGAGCTGAGATCATGCCACTGCACTGCAGCTTGGGCGCCACAGAGTGAGACTCTGTCTCAAAAAAAAAAGAGCAAATTTTGCACCAATTGACCATTTTGTTAATAATCATGATTATAAATTCAAGTAAAGATGACTAAAATAATCAAGATAGGCCCTTAAATTTTTAGTGCTCCCAGAATATGAAATAACTTACTTGGGTGGGAAGACTTTAGAATGTCCATCTGTGGGGATCTGCTACACTAGGAACAGTTATACCAGTCTGTAAATAAATAATTATACTTTAAGTATGCTCAGGGATTCTGCCAGAAAGTAAGAGAGAGGCTATGTAACCTCACAAAGTCCCTTAGTATGAAATCTGATGTTTTACCATAAGTATAATGATGAGTTTCTTTTGCTTCTTACAAAAAACTGACCACCAACTGATGAATCAAGCAGTTCATCTCCAGGTTTCCTTAATTAAGGTTGAACTCATAATTCAAGGGCAAGTCTAGGACAAGGTCTCACATGCAAGTCATTAGACACTAAGAAAGGCTATTGGTGCAGTGGGTAATGGGTCACCAGTCAAAACATTAATGACATCTACTACCCTGGTCTTATGAGACAGTACAAAATCTATAAATGTACATTAATTAATCTATTCAGTCAACAAGTATTTATGGGGCATAAAGCAAATGCTATGAAAATCATGAGAGAAAAATAAGACATGATCCCTGCTTTTGAAGTACCTATAAACCACATTTGCTCATGAAAAATAATCAACAAATTTTGACTTGAACTGGAAAGGTCAATAAATATGCATAGAATAAATAAATGTAATAATTAAAATAACAAATGTTATGGTGGCTTCGTGACTAGAGAAAGATACAAGTTGAAACGTAAGGAGATAAGTTTATGATTTTCATCGTGGAGGTTATATAGAGCTAAGAAATTCAAATGAGAAAGAAAGAAATTCTAAGCATAGGAGTTAGCATGAGTAAAATATAGAGCAAGGTTTAGGAGCAGTATGTTTGAGTGGAAACTGGAAGTGTCTATTTTTGTGAGGTTTAAATGATTTGTGCTTGGAAATAGTGGGAAATTAATCTGAAAGCAAAATTATAGCAAAATTCAGATTGCAAAGGGCCTTGATTTCAGGAATTATTCATAAGCAATGGGTACTAAGATAAATTTTTGAGTGGAGTAGTGTTGTTTTAAAAGGATTAAACAATCGTAGGCAAATATGAGTAAGTATTTGAACTATTTACAGTTTACTAGTATGAAATATATTAGATTTTTACATACTTCTAAGGAATATGATAAGAAGATTAGCTTTTTTTGAATCTTTAAAAGTAGGGAGAGAGGCCAGGAACAGTGGCTCACACCTGTAATCCCAGCACTTTGGGAGGCTGAGGCAGGTGAATCTCTTGAGGTCAGGAATTCCAGACCAGCCTGGCCAACATGATGAAACCATGTCTCTACTAAAAATACAAAATATTAGCTGCAGATAGTGGTGCATGCTTGTAATTCCAGATAATTGGGATGCTGAGGCAGGAGAATCTTTGAACTTGGGAGGCAGAGCTTGTAATGAGCCAAGATCGCACCATTGCACTCCAGCCTGGGTCACAAGAGCAAAACTCCATCTAAAAAAAAAAAAAAAGTAGGGAGAGAAAATATAAACAACATACATTGTTAAAAATAAAATGTGACTAGTATAAAAATCAGGGGACCATTAGGATAAATGCAGTCAATGTAGATGAACACCTAACCTCAGTACCTCTCCTATAACGCTTTCTAAACTGAAACCCCATTTACATTTAGTGAATGCTCATTGTTGTACAAGGTTTTTCTGTGTACTTTTCTTTCTTTGACACCCTCAAGCCAATCCAAAAGCAAATCCTGGAGAAACTGCTATATATCTTTCTAGGTTTAATGTTTACAAAAGATATTTTAAATGAGGATTTAAAAATGTAAAACTGAATACTCTTTCCTTTTAGATCATCCCCTAATGCAAGCCTAGTATGCATTTTACATTCAGAATTTCAATACAATGTTTTCTATCAACACAATTTGCTACCGTGTTTGTGAAAGATTGGGTCAGCATCCCTGAACTTTGTTATAAATTAGAAAAGAATCTAAAACAGTAATTTGGGTGTTATTACATGAATGAACTGTGCAATTTTAACATTATTCCTCCTATTAGCAGACAATTAACACTCTATCTAATTGCACTGTTCAATCAGGATGGCACTGGGATGGAATGGCAATGGAATGAAAGTGTAGATATAGAGAACTGCACTTTCTTTTAAAGACTTGCGCAGTACTTCTGCAATTACAACTATTTGATAATAATCTTATGTCATAAGAGACTGCTTACTCAAAAGTCAAAAGAGATTCGTTTCTGGTTAACAATGTGTATTAGTCCAGTCTCACACTGCTAACAAAGACATATCCAAGACTGGGTAATTTATAAAGGAAAAGTGTTTAATTGACTCACAGTTCAGCATGACTGGGAAGTCCTCAGGAATCTTACGATCATGGCAGGATGTGAATGAGAAGCAAGGTACCTTCTTCACAAGGTGGCAAGAATGCAGGGCACCAAGTCCCAAGTTTGCACACAGCAGAAGGGCCCTGGACCCAGCCCAGGAAACCATTTTTCCCTCTTAGGCCTCTGGGCCTGTGATGGGAGGGGCTGACCTGAAGACATTTTTCCCATTGACTTGGTGATTAACATTCAGCTCCTCATTGCTTAAGCAAGTTTCTGCAGCAGGCTTCCATTTCTCCCCATAAAATGGGTTTTTCTTTTCTATCACATTGTCAGGCTGCAAATTTTCTAAACTTTTATGCTTTGCTTCCTCTTGAATGCTTTGCTGCTTAGAAATTTCTCTGCCAGATACCCTAAATCATCTCCCTCAAGTTCAAATTTCCACAAATCTCTAGGGCAGGGGCAAAATGCCACCAGTCTCTTTGCATAGCAAGAGAGACCTTTACTCCAGTTCCCAACAAGTTCCTCATCTCCATCTGTATTAGTCAGGGTTCTCTAGAGGGACAGAACTAATAGGATAGATGTATATACAAAGTGGAGTTTATTAAGGAATATTGACTCACACAATCACAAGATGAGGTCCCACAATAGTCCGTCTGCAAGCTGAGGAGCAAGGAAGCCAGTCTGAGTCCCCAAATCTCAAAATCAGGGAAGCCAACAGTGTAGTCTTCAATCTGTGGTTGAAGGTCCAAGAGTCCAAAAGCTGAAGAACTTGGTGTCCGATGTTTGAGGGCAGAGAGCATCCAGCATGCGAAAAATATGTAGTCCCAAAGACTAAGCCAGGCTACTCTTTCCATGTTCCTCTGTCTGCTTTTATCCTAGCCATGCTGGCAGCTGATTAGATGGTGCCCACCCAGATTGAGGGTGGATGTGCATCTCCCAGTTCACTGACTCAAATGTTAATCTCCTTTGGCAACACCCTCACAGACACACTCAGGAACAATACTTTGCATCCTTCAATCCAATCAAGTTGACATACAATATTAACCATCACACCATCTGAGATCACCTCAGCCTGGACTTTATTGTTATATATCATATATCACTGTCAGTATTTTGGTAAAAGCAATTCAACAAGTCTCTAGGAAGTTTCAAACTTTCCCACATTTAATCTTTTTCTGAGCCCTCCAAACAGTTCCAACCTCTGCCTGTTACCCAGTTCCTAAGTTGCTTCCACATTTTTTGGGTATCTTTACAGCAGCAACCCACTCTCTCCTGGTACCAATTTACTATATGAGTCCATTCTCATGCTGCTAATAAAGACATACCCAAGACAGGGTAATTTATAAGAGATTTAATTGACTCACAGTTCTGCAGGGCTGGAGAGGCCTCAGGAAACTTACAATCATGGTGGAGGGGGAAGCAAACACGTCCTTCCTCACTTGGTGGCAGCAAGGGGAAGTGCCAAGCAAAATGGGAAAATCCCCTTATAAAACCATCAGATCTTGCAAGAACTCACTATCATGAGAACATCATGGAGGTAACCGCCCCCATGATTCAATTACCTCCCACTGGGTCCCTCCCATGACACACGGGGATTGTAGGAACTACAATTCAATATGAGATTTGGGTGGGGATAGAGCCAAACTATATCACAATGCAATTGAGTTTAACAAAAAGGTTACTGAAGACCAATGATACACTTGTACTGGATTAGGAACTGTGTACACTAAAATAAAACAACACCTGACTTCAAGTATCATGCAACATAATACTTTTTGTCAAGTTACCGAAATGCAATGTGTGTTACTCAGGGCTAAGTAGTAATGCCAGTGATACTGGCATTTATAGAAATTGTATTTCATCTCTCTAGAAAGTCAGGAAAGGCCTCCATGAGAAAATGACATTTAAACTGAGGTTGAAAACAATTAGTCTTTAGGATGAAAAATCATACCAAGAAAAAAATTAAAAGGTCCAAAGACAGCACAGAACATTTAACTAGAGATCATGAATAAACTCATTTCCCAGGTGGTGATCTTTCTACTCCAGCAATATTGGTATGCAGATGGCATCAGGAATTATATCTCCAGCCCAGACTTTTAACTTTGAACTCTGGCTTCATAATCAACTCCCTACTTAACATCTCTGTTATGATGTCAAATAGACATCTCAAACTTAACCAGAAACTAACTAGACTCCTAATTCCCTAGTATTCCTAATCACAATAAATGCCAACTTCATTCACCCAATTGCTGATCAGGAAGAAAAATAGAGGAATTATTGACTCCACTTTATCTCATATTGCATATCTAGTCCATTCTGTTGGTTCTATCCTCAAAATATATTTTACGTTTACAACATTTTGCCACCCCCACTACAGCAGTTTCACACCAAACCATCAGCTGTCTTCTAAATAATGGTAGTAGTCCTCTACAAGTCTTCCTGATGTCATTCTGTTCTCCATAATATTCAGAAGAATCCTTTAAAAGTGGAAATCATACCACAGTAGTCTTCTGTTCAAAACCGTACAAAGATTCCATATCTTTCTCTGGACAAAAGCTGAGAACTTTCTTCCCCTATATGTTCACTTAGTCTGCCCCTTCATTTTGGTCTCTGCTCAAATAGTTATCTTCCCTGAGATGCCTCCCACTAACTCACAATCGAAAGTACCATATTCTATGAGTTCCTACATTATTATTCTAATTTTTGCCAAACCATTTCTAGGGTCCTGGAAGATAGGACATTTGGTTTGTTTTGTTGACCACTCTTTCCCTGGTACTACCCATTTAGCCTAGTGTTCCATTATTAGAGCGCTAAGCATGTGAGAGTTATTTATATCCTACTGCTCAAGGTCATTGCCAAGGTCTGATTGCAAAAATTCAAAAAATTGCACCTCAGGCATAAATAGGTTAAAATAGTTCCTTCTGCATAATACGTACTCAATAAGTACCTTTTCTTGTCAAAGAACAAATAGGCATAAATGGGTTAAAATAGTTCCTGCTGGATAATAGGTAATACCTTTTCTTGTTGATGAACAAATGAATGTTATACCTGATATGTCAATAAACAGATAAAATGAGCTAGAAACAGTTTCAATTGGTCCCTAATTATACGTCAGGAGAGTAAACAGTTTCCAAAAGTATTATCTCCAGTAGCTTCCTAGTTAATTAGCTAATTGATTAATCAATGCCTTCATTCCTTTCTTCAACAAATATTTATAGAGGTTAACTATATGTTTGACACAGATAGGTCCTAGGATTTCAAATATTCCAATGAAGGAAACACATAATCCTTACTCTCTTAGAGCATAATAGGAAGAGGGGAAAGTAAACAGACAACTGCAATATTATTTAAAAAGTAAGTCCTGCAACAGGGGAATGTCCTGAGAGCCTTAGAGAATGATCACCTTAAGGAAGCCAGAAAATCACGGAGGACTTAGAGAAGAGTCCTGAGTACTGCTCGTCCTTCTTGGGAGACTTGGCTGAGATTTATCCTCAACCCTCTTTGATAAGGGAAGTTGACATTTCAAAGACATCTCTTGAATGTGGGTTGGGACTAGGCCGATCCTTCTTGTGATTGGGGAATGATTCAAACCAGAGATAATTGAAAAGATGTACAAAAAAGGGCAAGATACCAAAACTGTGAGTGAAAAGTGAGATAGAGAGGAACATGAAAGCAAATTAGGCAGCTGCAATGATCATAATTGGCATCTGTCACACAGGATTTATTAAGAGAATCCCCAAACTGTGAATTCGTTCTTTATTTCAGTCATTATTTTTATAATGTGCATCATTTAATTACATACTTCTGTGAAAAGTCATCATTACAGGCAACATTTGGTTATAAAATATATGTAGATGAATTTCTTAACTGAAAGAAAAGGGAATGCCTCATTTTAAACACTCTTCCAGCAGAATCTAATGCTTTTTTTCCCCTCTCCCTTTCTCTAGGCAATACACTCTGAGATCCTTAACAATATCATTCCTTGGGTGGTTGAATAAAAAATGATGCTGACTTGATTGTTCTGGCTTCCTGCTTTCCCATTTCTGTGTAATCTTTTAAAAACTAACTTCTTCTGACAGCTCTGCTCACAGGCATAAAAACCTAAATAAACAAAGGGGATTCAGAAACTTACAAACATAGAAAGCTTTAATATTTCACAAAAAGCCTGGAAATTTAGCTGCATAATTCTATGTGCAATGAAATGGCCTGATTCTAGTTGGTGCTGAATAGAGAATGAGGAAAAACCTTCACTGTGGATATCCAGTGATCCCAGTATAACACTAAGGGTTATGATGTTAGCCTGATCCTTTAATGCTCTGTGTCTGTGACCTTCAGCCTCTGCTCAAAAACTAAATTGCGAATGCTGACTTATTGCTTAAGATTTTGCAAGAAACTCCTATTGACAGTGAAGACCTCTGCAATAAAGCAATGTTGCTCCAGCACCTGGTCTGTGATAGTAATATTATTTTAATAATTATTATTAACTACATAACACTAAAATTTGCTTTTCTGTTTGAAAAAAAAACCTATTTTCTGGATTATTTCTCTTGATTTTTCTGAATGCAAACTATGTTTATCTACTGTTTATTCTATTACAACCCAGTTTCACAGGGATCCAATTTGTGGAAAATTCACAGCCTCTGCCTGTCTCTATTTGTCTCTGGGCTTCTGTGTCTTCATTATTCATTGCCCCACACCAGAGTGTGAACTTCTTAATGATGGAGAGAAAATCTAATGGCTTAAAGTTGCTTTTGAAAAAGAATTTTTTGAAGAACGATGGTGAAAGTTTACCTTAGGACAATTTAAGAAGTATAGGCATCTAACAGAATAATTATTAGCACAAAATTCTTTGGAAACACTTCCACAAATATGTATTCATTTACCCATATACAGAGGTAAACTTCAACAAGTTCAAGATTATGATCAATTTCTTAGCTAATAATGCACCTCTTTCTGGAATACAGGGCTCTAACCTGTCAGAAAGAAAAAATGGCTTTATCTACCTGACTAATGATGTATTAGAGGCAAGAAAGTATTTTAGGAAACCAGATTGATAATGACAAGGTAGGCTGCCTTGGTTTGGCAGCACCTTATTTATTAACAGTTTATATTCCTAGGATATGTTTAGGCAAGTTCTGTAGCTTTCCACAGATATTAATATGTAACCAATAAACTTTTATTTTAAAAGGAAATGAAAATTCTTGTTCAGTTCCCATTTGGGTTTATGGTACTACATACCAATGAACCATTTGATTTTAAAGACTTTTAATGCAAGAATGTTACCACTTAACGCTTTGATAAGGTGTTCTGACATAATTAATAAAATCTCCAATTATGTGTTGTAGATGACTTATTACTTTTTCTTTCTTAGACTTTAAGTCCCATTCAATGGAGATTTAACTTCTAAATGGACTAACACTGGTAAAATATATCTCATCATGAGGCCACACTAATGCAACCTTCTCACTTGTGACCTATTTATGATTAGAATTAAAAAAAAAATAACAAAAGAAAACAAGAGTTTCTCTCTTGTTGCCCAGGCTGGAGTGCAATGGCACGATCTCAGCTCACTGCAACCTCTGCCTCCTGGGCTCAAGTGATTCTCCTGCCTCAGCCTTCGGAGTAGCTGAGATTACAGGCGCCTTCCACCATGCCCAGGTAATTTTTGTATTTTTATTAGAGGCAGGGTTTCACTATGTTGGCCAGGCTGGTCTCGAATTCCTGACCTCAGGTGATCCGCCTGCATCGGCCTCCCAAAGTGCTGGAATTACAGGCGTGAGCCACCGTGCTTGGCCTAGAATTTTTTTTTAAGCTGTGTCAGTTAGAGACCATATATTTGTTTTAAGCCTAGAATTATTATATAATTTACTATCTAATCTGGAATACTTTTGAAATTAATATAAAACATTGTTAATAATTATGCTGGGGCAGCAAACGCAAACCAGCATATTTTTGACAATAAAAAAAGTAGAAAATGTTATGACCAATACTGAGAGTTACATGTACGGTTATAAACTCGGGAAAGTGCCTGCTCCTAAAATTTTGTCATTTTCCTCTAGAAATATGTGCTGTATACTCACCTAGATGTTTTGTATTCACTTGATGTGTACTATCATTTATTCCACTTGTAAACATTTGATTCGTTTTGATGCATCATTAATTAGAAAATGAGTGGACTAAATGATGCTTAGCTCAGGTTGTCCCCAACTGTACCAGTTACTCCACATAAGGTGTGTCACCTTGAGCATTGCTGCTACTAACAACAGTAACTAACATTATCATTGTGTATAATACTGTTTACTGAGGGAATAAATGTCTACAGCATAGTGATAAGTACACTACATATATTATCTCATTTTATTCCCAAACCTGGAAAGGAAGGTATTATTATGCCCATTTTATAAGTGGGAAAACTGAAGCCCAGAGAGGTTATAAACATCTCTGGGCTTCTGCAGTTAATGTACACAACTGCTTCATACATAAGTCCTTTTGATTTTGAAGCCTCTGTAAGTCATCCTTTCTGAGTCTTGGCTTCCCCATTTAGGAGATTAATAAAAATGAATGGGAGTAGAAAATCTCTAAGGGACTTCAATATCATGATTTGACAACTCTTTCTCTTTAGCGTATGATAACACAACATCCTTGATATATACTTTTACAAATAAAAACAAGAAATCACAACCACTCTTTTTAATAGAGCAAGGTTAGACATAAATTTTCTAGCAAAGTTTGGTTTGGGATATAACAAGAATGATAACGTCATTTAGTAAACTGACAGCTTAGACACATGTTATTTATAAAAACAGCAGACAATTACTTTAATGTAGAATGTAAAGAGATGAATACTATTTTAATACGTAAACATACTGCTTTTAGGGCTCCTTTGAGAATTGTTTTGAGTTTATTTCGTTTTTAAAATGATAAAATTATCTGTCATTTTAAATGATTTTAGATGCATATTTCACAAAATAGAACAAAGTATTACACGGTTATTCAGCTGTTATTATTATTCTTGCCTGCCTATAATAATGGTGCACGAATAATCCTATGGTTATTTTGGTTTTTGTTGTGGGTTTTTTTTTTTTTTTTTTTTTTTGCTTTCTGTTGTGGGTTTTTTTTTTGGGGGGTTTTTTTTTGCTTTTTGTTGTCATTTTATTTGTCTTTATATCTAAAAACTTTCTTTTTTAAAATATTTTATACAGTTTTATATTACTAAATTTCTTCAAGAAATATGTTCTCATTGCCTACTCTGTGCTGGGCACTGTTCCAGGTTTTGCGGAGGAGCAAGAAATAAAATAAACAAAAACCTGACTTCATAAAACTTAGGTTTTAATTAATAAATGCTCACTTTTTAATAATAACTAGGTATACAGTTTTATTAACCAGACGTTTTACTTTCTAGACAAAATCTTCCTTATGAAACCCACATCATAATTATCTTTCTTTCCTTCCACGTATTTACACATTGCTTGGATTGGAACATTTAAATATTCTGGTTTTAATTTCCTTAGGTACAAGTCTTAACTTCCTAACCACATAAACTCCCTGAGGATAAGACCATGTAATATAACTTCATATCCACATCCACTATTCAGTAGTGAGCATTTTCGTCCATGCTTCTTTGGGTTTTCATGTGAGCATTTCTTTGAGATTGATAGCTTAAAGTTAAATCATGACTTGAGAGAGAGGTTCATTTTAACTTCAATACTACCAATTGACCTTGAATAAAGCTACAAAATTCCTACCAAAAATATATGCGAGTACCCATTTTCTCCTACCATAACTATCAATAGTTATCAATAAGCTCTTATTTTTTCCCCAATCTCATGAGAAAAAAATCTAATTTTTAAAATGTGAATTTCCTGGTTACTTTTCACATGTTTTATGAAGTATTTTTGTTTCTTCCATGAATTTCCTATTTTTATCCTTCATCTTTTTTCTGTTGAGGTGTCTGTGGCTTACTTGTTGCTTTAGAGGTCTTCATTCATTTGGACATTAACTCTTTGAATTATTTGTTGTAAATGTTACAAATAGTTTGTGAATTGCTTCACATTTAATTCATACTATCAGTGCAATGATACTTTCAAAGGATCTGTTATCCATCCTTTCCCCTAAAACACAGCTCATATCCAAAGTATTACAGGAGAAAGCAGCTTATTTTATACAACTGTTTGGAATGAAGGGTCTCTGTGATGCATTTTATAGCGGTGTTGGTCCCTTTTCAAAATCACCTAAGATCTACTCTTTAGGGTCAATGCTATACTTTACAGATGAGATAAAGGGAGAATTTCTTTCTTTTTTTATTAATTATACTTTAAGTTTTAGGGTACATGTGCACAACGTGCAGGTTTGTTACATATGTATACATGTGCCATGTTGGTGTGCTGCACCCATTAACTTGTCATTTAACATTAGGTATATCTCCTAATGCTATCCCTCCGCCCCACCCCGACCCCACAACAGACCCCAGTGTGTGATGTTCCCCTTCCTGTGTCCATGTGTTCTCCTTGTTCAATTCCCACCTATGTGTGAGAACATGAGGTGTTTGGTTTTTTGTCCTTGTGATAGTTTGCTGAGAATGATGGTTTCCAGCTTCGTTTCCAGCTTCATCCATGGCCCTACAAAGGACATGAACTCATCATTTTTTATGGCGGCATAGTATTCCATGGTGTATTTGTGCCACATTTTCTTCATCCAGTCTATCACTGTTGGACATTTGGGTTGGTTCCAAGTCTTTGCTATTGTGAATAGTGCCGCAATAAACATACATATGCATGTGTCTTTATAGCAGCATGTTTTATAATCCTTTGGGTATATATCCAGTAATGGGATGGCTGGGTCAAATGGTATTTCTAGTTCTAGATCCCTGAGGAATCACCACACTGACTTCCACAATGGTTGAACTAGTTTACAGTCCCACCAACAGTGTAAAAGTGTTCCTATTTCTCCACATCCTCTCCAGCACCTGTTGTTTCCTGACTTTTTAATGATTGCCATTCTAACTTGTATGAGATGGTATCTCATTGTGGTTTTGATTTGCATTTCTCTGATGGCCAGTGATGATGAGCACTTTCTCATGTGTCTTTTGGCTGCACCTGACAAAAACAAGAAATGGGGAAAGGATTCCCTACTTAATAAATGGTGCTGGGAAAACTGGCTAGCCATATGTAGAAAGCTGAAACTGGATCCTTTCCTTACACCTTATACAAAAATTAATTCAACATGGATTAAAGACTTACATGTTAGACCTAAAACCATAAAAACCCTAGAAGAAAACCTAGGCAATACCATTCAGGACATAGGCATGGGCAAGGACTTCATGTCTAAAACACCAAAAGCAATGGCAACAAAAGCCAAAATTGACAAATGGGATCTAATTAATTAAAGAGCTTCTGCAGAGCAAAATAAACTACCATCAGAGTGAACAGGCAACCTACAGAATGGGAGAAAATTTTTGCAATCTACTCATCTGACAAAAGGCTAATATCCAGAATCGACAATGAACTGAAACAAATTTACAAGAAAAAAACAAACAATCTCATCAAAAAGTGGATGAAGGACATGAACAGACACTTCTCCAAAGAAGACATTTATGCAGATAAAGGGAGAATTTCTCTTCAGCCCAAAGACTCTTTAATTACAGATGAACAACCCTAGTAATTGTCCTCCAAACTGAACAGCATCTTTACCCCACACTCACTGTAGGTCCATTTGTCATTATGACATTTTAGAAATTCTATTCTGCAATATATTATCAAGGAATTATTATATTGTGAGAAAACCAAAATTACTGGGTTATTTGATAATGCATTTTCCATATTAAATGCTTCATACATCTTTTCCCCCTCCAAATCTGTCCTTTCCAAGTGATCTTGAAAGTATCTATTTCATGGAAAGTTATCTGTTGTTCTTAGTTAACTCACTATTAATCCAATTTCATACCTCATTATAATTAAAACCTGCTTTAGTTTGTGTCCATAGATCCTGGGGCACTTCTTCTATACCAAAGCCTACCCTGCCTTATATTGTATCTAGTGAATGACAGAAGTGGGTTGAGCCGGGCTTTGCATACAGTTTCATTGTCAAACACAGTATGGCTTGTGTTCAGTTTCCCAAAATGGATCTTAACTGGCTTTGTTTTTTCCATTATTCCTTCTTCCTTCCTTTCTTTCTTTTCTTCTTTCTTCTTTTCTTTCCTTCCCTCCTTCATTCTTTTTTTCTTCCTTTTTTCTCTTCTTGAGTCACAGACAACCTCTCATGTGACTCATATGACTTCCCATATAGCACTAACCAGGAAACCAAATAAGAGTTCTACAGCAGTCCACAAATATGAGACAAACTGCGCCACCTGAGGTCCAGGACAGAAAACACAGAAAAGCCAGATATATTATACAATATGTCACCCCACCCCCACCCTGCCATATGCCTTTCCAAAACTCTTTTTTGTCTATATTAAAAAAATCCAGTTTTAAACTCAAGAATGGAAAATTAAATATAATCTGTTCTCATTTGTAAGTAGGAGCTAAGCTATAAGCATGCAAAGGCATAAGAATGATATAGTGGACTTTGGGGGCTTGAGAGGGAAGGTTGGGAGGGGGCCGAAGGATAAAAGACTACATATTGAGTACAGTGTACACTACTTGGGTGACATGATGGGTGCACTAAAGATCTCAGGAATCACCACTAAGAACTTATTTGTGTAACCAAAAACCACCTGTACCCTAGAAACTATTGAAATAATTTTTTAAAAAAACACCTTATATCGTATATATCCAGGAAGCTAATAACTCCACTCCTAGATTCACACATTGGTCACTTTACAGTACTTTTAGAAACAATATTGAAAACTCATATGGGCAAAATAGTAACTTTTAGAACATACTTTATGTACTATTTTTATTTTGGTTTTAACACTATAGCTTCTTTTATATATTGAGCATATTTAAACTAGCTTTAATAATTGTTTCTTTTTTCTACCAATTCCTGTTTTTCATTTCTAATTGTCAGAATTTCCCCCACTAAAAGCCCACAATTCAGGCTGAACAATTTGTCCATTTTAACTCTAACCCAGAAACTACTGAGTCTCCTTGTTTCCTTTCTGTTCTTTTCTTTTCTTTTTTTCTGAGATAGGATATCGCTCTGTTGTCCAGGTTGGAATTCAGTGGCACAAACACGACTTACTGTAGCCTCGACTTCCTGGTATCAAGTGATCCTCCTGCAGCAGCATCACACTTGGCTGGAACCGAAGGTGTATGCCACCACACCCAGCTACTTTTTTAATATTTTGTAGAGTCAAGGTCTCACATTGTTGCCTATCAAACCATGATTGGGATTGTAAACCTGTGAGGAAAAGGATCACGTCACCTATATTATCTACTTTATCACAGCACCTATTTCAGTGCAGGCACACAGTAGGCGCTCAAGAAACATTTTTGAATAAATGAATGCATGGTTGAGGTTGACCTTAGGTGTTCACCTGGTTAGTCCCACTCTCAGGACCTCAAATGCTGGGCCATACTCACATCAGATTGGCTTTGTATAGGTCTTTATGAGCTCAAAGGGCTCTCTCCTTCTTGTCCTCCCAAATTAATTGTATTAACAATGAGACTTCCACAATGGTTAGACTAATTTACATTCTCACCAATAGTGTAAAGTGTTTACACAAAGGAATATAAATCATTCTATTATAAAGACACATGCATGTATATGTTCATTGCAGCACTATTCACAATAGCAAAGACAGGGAATCAACCCAAAATGCCCATCAGTGATAGACTGGATAAAGAAAATGTGGTATGTATATACCATGGATTGCTATGCAGCCATAAAAAAAACCAAAACAAACAAATAAAACCAGATCATGTCCTTTGCAGGGACATGGATAGAGCTGGAAGCCATTATCCTCAACAAACTAACACAGGAACAGAAAATCAACACTGCATGTTCTCACTTTTTTTTTTTTTTTTTGAGGTAGAGTTTTGCTCTTGTCATCCAGGCTGGAGTGCAGTGGCACGATCTTGGCTCACTGCAACCTCTGCCTCCCGGGTTCAAGAGATTCTCCTGCCTCTGCCTCCTGAGTAGCTGGGACTACAGGCGTGCACCACTACGCCTGGCTAATTTTTGTATTTTTAGTAGAGACAGGGTTTCACCATGTTGGCCAGGTTGGTCTCAAACTCCTGACCTCAGGTAATCCACCCACCTCAGCCTCCCAAAGTGCTGGGATTACAGGCATGAGCCACCACGCCAGGACTGCATGTTCTCACTTTTAAGTGGGTGCTGAATAATGAGAACACATGGACACAGGGAGGGAAACAACATGCACTGGGACCTGTTGGAGGTGGGAGAAGGAAGAGCATCAGGATAAATAGCTAATGTATGCAGAGCTTAATGTCTAGGTGATGGGTTGATTGACAGGTGCAGCAAACCACCATGGCACACATTTACCTGTGTAACAAACCTGCATGTCTGCACATGTATTCAGGAACTTAAATTTAAAAAAAGAAAAGAAAAAGAGGACTAAACATCTGTTAGCATATTTATCATTAAATACCAAATAACTAACACCAACACCACCAACAACAACAAAAACAATGAGATTTTAGGGATTCTCCAGGTTTCTAGTGCAGTGTAACTAAAATTTTATATGTATACTATGGGTACTAAGTTAGAGGCTTACAGTTTTGAAATTTCCAGTAAAAAAGGAAGTGATTTACTTTTTATTGGCAGGGCCTGGGGGCAGTGCCTGGCTCTCACATTAGTCAATATTGTTCACATGTGGAACTCAGGATTTAGCTCTATGTGCTACTCAATTCATTTTAAGGAAAAAAATTTGAGGCCTACTATGAGCCAGATGTGGTGCTAAATTGAAGTAACAGTAAGAACCCTGCTTTCAAAGAGTTGTTACATCTTGCTTTATGCAAACTTTGGAGGAAATTTAAAAAATTAACTTGAAGAAGAGTTTTGTATTTCTGTAATTCTGATTTGAAAGAAGCTTATATTCCGTAAGATGTTTGACCTTGCTATACAGATAAAAAAAATACATTTTCATTTGAAGAAAGAACTTTCTTTAACATCCTCTATGGTCATATAAGACTGGTTTCTGATTCATCTTGATATTCTTGGGCAGAATAGAATGATTTCATATTTAGTTCTTGGTGTGCCCATTAAGATACATTAAAATGTAATAATAACCATTTATTTGGGGACATAGTAGTAGAAAATTTTATTTATGAGACCTTGGGATATAACAGGAGTTTCAAAATTCACTATGACGTGCCAATTGCTCTCCGGATTTTGGGAAAAATAAAGTCCAATTTAGGCTTTTGATTAGAACAGTCTTCCTCAACCAGAGTTACATAGACTGGATCACAATCTTTTTACAGCAGCTGGTGAAGGTTCAAATCCTCAGGTAACAGCAGACCAGACCAGCTGCTAGAAAGAGTGAAAAGCAACTGGAAAAAAAAAATCCATGTTGAGAAAATCGAAGAACTACTTGAAAATAATTGTTAATACCACAAATATATTTTAGTAAAAGTTTAGGATTCACGAAAAATGTGAAGTGATTTTCCATAGACACATAAATTTTCACAAATTTTACTTGTATGCATAATGAGGTGGTCCAAAGTTAGTTTTCTGAAACACATTTACTAGAATTCTTTCATCAGTAATATATCATAGACTTTGATAATGGGTTTGCACCAAAAAGATATTTGTGTGATCCAAAGTATATTAGTTTATTTTAATGCCACTGATGAAGATATAACAGAGATTGAGACATTTACAAAAGAAAGAGGTTTATTGGACTTACAGTTCCACATGGCTGGGGAGGCCTCACAATCATGGCAGAAGTCAAGGAGGAGCAAGTCACATCTTACGTGGATGGCAGCAGGCAAAAATTTTAAAAAAGCTTGCGCAGGGAAACTCCCATTTTTAAAACCATCAGGTCTTGTGAGATCCATTCACTATCACAAGAACAGCATAGGAAAGACCTTCCCACATGATTCAGTCATCTCCCACTGGGTCCCTCCCACAACACGTGGGAATTATGGGAGCTACAAGATAAGACTTGGGTGGGGACACAAAGCCAAACCATATCAGTAAGCATTTTTTTTCTAGATCTTAAAGCTCAAAGTTGGTCCTTCAAGGACCACTATGTCAAGAATATTTCTTGGTTAGAAATTTGATTTTTAAATAGATAATAAAATAATAAAATCAAGATCAGAATGTCTAGTGAGTGCTTTTTACATGTTTATCACTAATCATATGCTAGTTGAATTGAACTGAAAATCAAGTTCACTACATTAGTAACCGTTCTGATTAGTGCAGCCTTCCAAACTACAATATTTTCAATAAGCACTGTTCAACAACCAAATGTAATTAAAGGATAATTCCATCTTTACTAAATCTCATCAAGATCATTAGGGGAATACAGATGTGCAGCATTACTCTTCCTGTTATCTATTGTTGCATAATAAACTACCTCAAGATCAGTGGCATAAAAACAGTTATTTTATTAGGCTCATAGTTTCTGTGGTTCAGGAATTCAAATGGGCGAAGTAAGGATGGGTGTATCTGCTCCACAATGACTTGATGCCCAGTTGGCTTTGGGCTAGAATAACCTGGAAGCTTCTCATATCTAATGCCTTCATTAAAATGACTCAAAGACTAGGCCTAGCTGAGATTTCCTACTGGGCAAAAAATTACTGCTTTCCTGTGTGGTTGGGCTTCTCAGAGCATGGCAGCTGGGTTCTGAGAGGGAGCAGCTGGACTCTGAACAATGTCCCCAGAGTAATAGGTGGAAGCCACTTAGCCTTTTCTGATGTAGCCTCAAAAGTCACATGACATCCTTTGTATCGTACTCTTGGTCAGACAGCAACAAGACCCTGTCCAGATCCCAGAAGATTAGACATGTGGCTCCCCCTCTTGATGAGGGTAATGCCAAGGTCATATTGCAGAAGAGCATGTGGGATGCAAGAAGTTGCAGCCATCTTTGGAAAATATGATCAGCCACTTGTATGTATTTTCTATCCTGTCCCAACTATTTCTCGTGGTCTCTGTAGTTACTCCACTAACGTATTCTTTGTAAAAAACATCTCCTAAGTTTCCCCCAGTCTCTCTTTCTCTCCTCCTCCTAATGACTTTGCACCTTCTCTGTATTTCATTGTGTATATCAATTTAACCTCTTATCTTAAGTCACTCTTGGTTTCATCTACTTTTTAGAGTCATAGATCCTTTTCTCCATTTTATTTCAATTTACAGCATCAAAAAATCAAAGAAAGAATCTAGAGTAGCAAACATTACCATATTCAGTGCTGAGAAGGAAGGGAAAGAAGAAGCTGAGTAATCAGATAAAACCCTCTTTGGCATATGGGAAAATGGAAAAATTTCCTTGGAAGCCAAGATGTTGTTTTTAGTGCCAACACCCCACTCAATAATATCCCCTTTCTCCTGCCCAAGACAAGGCTTCTATGGTGTCAGTGAGTCACTAACACCTTCATCACATCGTAGTAAAGCACTGGATCATCTCTCTCTCCTTACTCACCCCTTACTCTCTGTGATAAAGATACTTTTTGTTACCACCCTGCAATGCTAGAAGCAAAAGTCCGGGTGTAGTCTCCAGCTAACTACCCAAACTGGCTTTCCTCCAAACAAGACTGCCCTGTTACTTACCTGGAGTTTTCATTCAAGTGGCAATTGAGTTAATTGCAGATTCCTAAGTCCATCTCAGGTCTAAACTTTAAGAACGGATTCTATTAACAGAACGCTGATTACACCACCTACTTTTATTAAGACCTGGTAACCTTCAACAACAATAAGAGTTGGAGGACCTCCTAGTGCTATTAATGTAGTCAGTGCTTATTTACTGTTGACTGAAAAGTGTCTAGACAGCTTTTACTGAGCTGTTTATGAGCCCCCAAGTTTCCCTCTCCTGCCGCTCAGCAGATGGCCTGTTGAAACAGTGCATGGGCCCTTGGACACTGTAGTAAGAGATTTACTACCCAATTTCCACTGACTACCCTGCCATATATTCACTCTAGTGTCTACTTTTTTTGCCACTGATTCCAATAACAACTTTGTGAGCAGGTACTTTCTTCATATACAAATATGGATATTTCTCTATACCTGAAACTGTCCATTTTTACACTATTAATGTGTCATTCCCTAAGCCCCATTAAAGGCCTTATATCTAGAATTTGGCACAGTACTTTCTGAAAATATACCAGAATTTTTGTAGGAATTAATATGTTCTGGTGACTAAGCCACATTTGTTTTGTGTCCCACAACAAAGCTAAATCTCTAGGGTTGGCATCGGCCTGTAAATCTGAGTGAAACTCTAAAATCCATCCAAGCGAACTAGACTTCCCTTTCTGTGTGCAAAAATGACTTCAGTATGTCAAGGAATCCTGCAGTTGCCTGAATGCAGGAAGGACTAAATTAATTTTCAGCTTGTTACATTCGAGGGAAATATTTTAGTCTTATTCGATTTAGTTAACTTACACAATTGTTGCATAGATTTGACCCTTTTGATAGTACATCCCATCCAGAGCACTGCATTTTCTTAGAACTGACAATTTTCTGGCCTGAAATCATTTTCACAGTGTCTCTTTAAATCAGCATACACATTTTAGTGGCCATCACGGATCAAGTTTAAATAATCTTTTTCCCTTTGCTTCATTGTTCCCATATACAGGCAATCATATGAAAATATGCTTATCTGATTCCAGATAAGTCCTCTCAAATATATGTCTCTCAAAATAACTCTTTCGAGTCAGAGCCCTATATAGCTTTGTACCAAGAATGCTATACTCAATTTAGATTTGAACAAATCTAAATTATAGAAATTTAATTTATTATTCACATGGTTCAAAAACATTAGACGAGATCCAAATACAGAATGCACATTTTCTTTTGTTTTGTATCCATTTTCTCCACAGTCTGCAGGTTCCCTCCAGCTATACTCAAAGACACTGGGAAAATCTCATTCATCACTACCACTCTGCACTCTGTCTGGATCATTCTTTTTCTCTTTCCTACTTACCTCACACTCCAAAGGTACAACTGCCACAGAGAGATGATCCTGTAATCTGCTCTCCCAAGCTCAAACCTACCATCATTTCCACTTAAATATCCTACCACGGCCTAAAGTGCAGCATATCCAAAATGTAACCTATCATTTTCTGACTTAAACCTTCTCATAGCTCTCCATTCCCTGGGAAAACATCACTATCCTCAATTCAAAAAACTTACTTGTTAGAAAATCTTTTCTGTTACACTCCTCAGCTTGACCCAGGAGGCTCTGCTATGTAGAAACCTTTCCAGCCCCTGTCATAGTACCTACCACATTGTATTCTTGCAATTATTTAGGTTGTCTTGTCCATTAGAGTAAGTTGAAGATCAGGGATTGTTTCTTTAATCTGAGAGCTTATCACAGAACATATTTTTTTAAAAGTAAATGAAAAATAGATAAGTAATTCTGTTCATTACAAAATATGGGAATTCTGCCCATCTACACACCAACTGCTGCTATAAATGAGAATATAAACAAAGGAGCAAATGAAAATTAAACATTTAAGACTATTGGTAGTCTAGAGCTCGGCCAAGAAAAAAGCATTACCAGAAGCCAGAAATAAAGAGGAAACCAGTAATGGCAAAATAGACATGATGCTATGTGCCCATGGGGTACCTGGATTTAATACATGCTTTGATGTTTTAATACTAGAGCAGAGATAAGCATTGAAGCTTGAAGTCCAGTATGAGGCAGGGAACTACAACTCATTCATGCAGGAGAACTGGAAAGCACTGCCATAAATAGAAAACAATATTTATAAAATATCTTAAGCCTGGGCCTAAATAATTATCAAGAAATTGAATCCAAATTTGAATTTACCCCAAAGTATGCAAATCCCAAATAAATAAACTAATATAAAACTTTTTTGGAACTCCAAAGGGTCCTCTTAGGAGCATGTTTCCACAATAAGGCATGCAACAGAAGAAAACTCTGGAGATTAATTCACAAACAGAAATTGCACAGCACATTAGGAAATTCAACAACAAGGAAAACAGTCCACAGATCTAAAAAGTACAGCACATTTAATTTCTGATGTACTAGAGTAGAAGAAAGGTATTTTAAAAGCAGAATATTTATGGTAGAATAAAAATCAATCTTAAAACTCTAAAAATAGAATTATACATTTTTATCTAAGTAAAAAGTAAAAGATGGCTTAAAGAGTAAACTAGAATAGTGGAAAACGAAATTAGGGTTTAGGGAGATTAGTATAACACTAAAGGAAAAGAGATGAAATATAGAAAAATAACTTAGTAAATGTGAATAATTGACTGTGATCCTCCAGGAAGTGAGAACAGAAAAAAATTCAATCGAAGAAGTACACCCCCCACCAAAAAAAAAAAAGAAAGCAAGAATTTTCTGGCATTAATTAACGCATACACACATAGTCAAACAAAATCAAACCATGATTTTATATCAAGACACACAGCATTGAAATTACAGAAGAGCATAAAAAAGATAATCTCATGGGCTACTAGAAAAAAAAACGAGGACAGTTATACTGACATTCAGACTTTTTTCTAATAAGCAATTGAAGATGGCTGAAGACTTTGAAATAGTATCTTAAAGTGCTGAAGGAAAGCAACTGTCAAGTTAATAATCTATACCCGCCTACATACAATCTCAGTCCAAAAAAATGTTAGTTTACCATCTAAAAATACTCACAGAAAAGACAATCTTTGCAAGAGAAAAAAAATCTGGGAGAAAGTGCTGCATGTAGCAGCAATAAGGAGGAAAGACAGCAGTACAAAGGGTAGTAGATGTCATTTAACTATTAACATCAATGTGTGATGGCTTTAAATATCACAAAATATAATGTTGAATACAATTATAACAATACTTCTCTATGAAAAATATAATGGAAGATGCAAGGGGCTCTGTATGTAAATATAAAAGTTTAACAAAACATGGTTTTTGGTAACTTTTACTAGATACAAGTAGTTCCATAAACATCTCCACAATGACATCTATCAACAGAGAACTTTGCAACATCCATTACTATGAAAGGGTTTAAGCTGCTAAAGCTTACCTTTTTATATGACTTTAAACAGTTTTGTTTTCTTTATCCATATTATTTTTGACACTATTGGGGATATAAGGCTTTCCTAATTGATAATATACAGACATATCCAAACTACAGTCATGCATCACTTCACAAGAGGGATGCATTCTGAGAAATGTTAGGTGATTTAGTCATTGTGCAAACATTATGAAGTGTACTTACAAACCTAGATGGACTAGCCTACGGCACACTTGGGCTTATCAGGTTTAGCCCTTTGTTTCTATGCTGCAAACCTGTACAGCATGTGACTGTACTGAATACTGTAGGCAGTTGTAACACAATGGTAAGTATTTGTGTCTATAAATATAAAAATAATTTAAAAGATATGGTAATAATACAGTATAAAAGCAATAAATGACACACCTCTATAGGGCACTTACTACGAATGGAGCTTGCAGGACTGGAAGTTGCTCTAGGTACGTCAGTGAGTGAGTGAGTGGTGGGTGAATGTGAAAGCCTAGGGCATTGCTGTATGCTCCTGCAGTCTTTATAAACACTGTAAACTTTGACTACACTAAATTTATTAAAGCACTATTTTTCTTTCTTCAATAATGAACTGACTTTAGATTATTGTAACTTTTTTTTTGAGACGGGGTTTCCCTCTGTCATCCAGGCTAGAGTGCAGTGAGATCATGGCTCACTGCAGCCTCTTCCTCCCAGGCTGAAGCAATCCTCCCATCTCATCCTCCCTTGTAGCTGACACTACAAGCTATGTACCCTCATGCCCAGTGAATTGTTTTACTTTTTTGTAAAGACAGAATCTCACTATGTTGCTCAGGCTGGTCGTGAACTCCTGGGCTCAGGTGATCCTCCCACCTCAGCCTTCCAAAGTGTTGGGATTACAGGTATGAGCCACTGTGCCCAGTCTACTTTATCACGTTAAAAACTTTTTAATTTTAAAAAATTTCTTATTTTTTACTATTTTGCTATAACACAACTTAAAACACACACACACACATTGCAGAGCTGTACAAAATAGTCTTTATGTCTTTATTCTACAAGCATTTTTCTATTTTTAACTTTTAAAAATTTTTGACATTTTAAACTTTCTTGCTAAAAACTAAGACACAAACACACACATTAGCCGAGGCCTACAGAGGGTCAGGATCAACAATATCACTGTCTTCCACCTCCACATCTTGTGCCACTGGAAGGTCTTAAGGGGAAGTAACATATACGGAGCTGTCATCTCCTAAAATAACAATGCCTTCTTCTGAAATACCTCCTGAAGGACCTGCCTGAGGTTGTTTTACTGTTAACTTTTCCTTTTAATAAGTAGAAGAAACACACTCTAAAATAATGATAAAAGTATGTATAGTATTATAAATACATAAGCTAGTAACATGTGTTTAGCATCATTATCAAGTATTATGTACTGTTCTATGTGATATATTTTTGTATGACTGGCAGTGCAGTAGGTTTTTTACACCAGCATCACCACAAATACATGAGTAATGTGTTGCACTACACTTTATGATGGCTACAGGGCCACCAAGCAATAGAAGTTTTTAGGTTCTATTAAAATTTTATGGGACCACAATTGTATACGCAGTCTATTATTGACCAAAACATCATTATGTGGTGTGTGACTGTATTTACAATTAAAACATTTCAATATGAGTTTTCCGTTTGCTCCTGAGACCAAAATTTATATTGTATAAGGAAAGAAAAGTATTACATATACAAAATGTCAAAAATTAAAATAAACAGTATAATTCATGAGTGTCATTGCTTCTAAAGGAAACTTTAAAAATCAACATTTATAATAGGAAATTCAGAAATTAATTTTTAAATGCAGGGCTCCAACCCAACAAGAGTTAAAAATGAATTGGAAGCTAGCCAACTTCACCTAGACACAGTTCAGCTTTGAGTCAACTGGGTGGACCAGATAAGCTCAAGTCCTGAGATTAGATTATGGTGGTTCCAGATTGCTAATGCCCACAATAACTGACAGAAGCAAAGGAAAATCCTGCCTGGAGAAAAATAACATAAGATTAGAATGAAATTGTTTGTACAAATTATTTTTTAAAGTTTAACAT
Organism: Homo sapiens; assembly: GCF_000001405.40. Lineage (NCBI taxonomy): Eukaryota > Metazoa > Chordata > Mammalia > Primates > Hominidae > Homo > Homo sapiens. Next base: position 123,117,169 of record NC_000006.12, on the reverse strand, counting down.
AAAATGAAACCTAATGAGGCACAGAAGGAAATAAGACAAAATGAAAGAGAACAAACAATAGCCAATAGAAAAAGACTCAGAGAAATTAAAGAACAAGACCAACACACACACACACAGACACACACACTCAGCAACTCAGCTAGCTATGTTTGTATTTTTAAAATCTATTAATGTAATTAAATGTATCAGCAGATATAAAAGCAATACCCATGTTTATCTCAATAATAGAAAAGAGAGATGCAATAAAATGTGATACAAAATTCAATACAATTCATGGTTTTTAAATAAAATAATTAATTGCAAATAAGAAATAGAAGGAAACACTATTAACTTAATAGAGAATACCTATTGAAAAGTAACAAGCATAATATTTACTGGGAAAAGTGTGAATTACCTTTAAATAAGAATAACAAAGAAGATGACTGCATTCAGTTCTAATTTTTAAATCTACCTGTGACTATGTCTCAAAGAAAATAGTTTAGGAAGTTGAGGCTTAAGACACATATTATCTGGTTTTAATATATAATATATGGACTTCATTTGGATTTGGATTTGATCAAGGAATATGTGTGTGTGTGTGTGTGCGTGTGCGCGCGCTCGTGTGCGTGTGTGTGTGTTTATGTGCATGCATCGGTGTGAGTGTGTGTGTGTATGTAAGACAGATAAACAACCAGGGACTTCTAAATTGACCAAATATTTGACAACATTAAATCATTTCTATAATTTTATGTGTGTTAAGGATATGATAGCTTTTATTTAAAAAATATGCTGTATTGATAACTTGCAAATTAAATTATATGATATCTTGCATTCATTTCAAAATAATCTGAAGAAAGGGAGGAGTATGTAGGTGAAGCAGATTGGCTATTAGTTGGTAATTGGCAAATTTGGGAATATTTATAATTCATAAGTGTTCATTCTGCTACTTTTCTAAATGTGTATATATATATAGAATTGTTCCTAATTAAACATTAAACAAATTAGACCTAGACACATCATAGCGAAGCTATTGAATATATTTTATATATCTTTGAAAAAACTAGATAAGAGAAAAATTATTTACAAAAAAATTAAAATTATACTGAGAGTAATATGTATTATAAAATTTCAAGAATAGATACTAGAAATATAGAAATGCATTTATGATGTATAAAATAGGGAAGGGGAGAAATGGCAGAAGGGAAAAAAATTACTACAAAAGAAGGGAAGAAAAGGCAAGGAAGGGAAAGAGAGAAACAGCGGAGAAAATGTATGACAAATAAAAACACAAAATTAAATAGTAATGTAAGTCTAAATATATTTGTGTTCACAATGAATATAAATGTACTAAATATATCCATCTAAAAACAGCAGTTGCGCTCTGGATTTTAAAAAGTAGGTCACAAGTTATAAAGAAGAGGCACACCTGAATCATAAAACACTTGGAGTCTGAAAATAGAAGAATGGAAAAAGATATACGAAGCAAATACTAGTCAAATAAATCTGGGGTGGCTGTTAATATGGGTGACTTTAATATCATGTTAAAATTAAAATTTACTTGAATTTTTAAGAAAGCACTTTTAAGGATAAAAAGAGTACTTGTATAATGTAAAAGATCTCCATATATTACAGTTGTAAACTTCCATGCACCAATAAAAGAGCCTCAAAATGTATGATGTAAAAATTAATAGGTGATGCACAAATTATTATTAATAGAACTACAAGGAGAAACAGAATTTTCATAATGAAAAATTTTAACAGTTATTTCTCTGTTGCAAGGGCAAGAAAGCAATGTTTAGTAAAGATTTAGAAAATGTGAGTAACAAAGCTAACAAATTTGGTTTAGTGGACATCAAAACACAGAAAGAAACTTTAAGAATGCTTCGACATTTTCAAAATCTGAACATGTGCTAGATTGCAATACAAGAAAGTAGAATGCACTACATTATCTCAAGACTAAATTAATTTTGAAGAATTGCTGTTATATAGACCAAGTTCTTTGATTTTAACATAATTAAGTTAGAAACCTTATTTAACAAAGAATAAATTAGCTTTATAAAGTTGGAAATTTTAAAATACATATCTTTGGTAACCAGTGGATCAGAGATGAACATAATAAAAATTAAAATACTTAGAATTGAATTTTGTAGAAAATGCTATATATCAATACTTGTGGAAAATAAGACAAAATCAACCAAAAAAAGGAGTACAATAACTGCAGAATCCCACTATTGTCACATACGATTGTGAAAGCCATGCCCAGCACAAGGCTAACTGGCAGTGTAGACAAATGGGGTTGTAATCCAACTATATTATGCTAGCAAAGTCTTATCCCCACTGTGTTTTCTTGAGGAGATATGTCTTTTTAAATTTTTTGCAACAGCACTCTTTATGGTGACTAGCCACTCTGATCAATAGTTACCAAACAGCAAGAAAGTAACTAGGAAAATCTATCAGACTAAAACTTAGAAGTCAGTGATAAAAAATTAAAAATGTATAATCTACTGAGACTTAGAAAACAAATGCATACCAATGAGCAAAGATGCTCATATTTGTGCCAGACAAATCCTAATTGATGCAAATGAGGACATGTCATTCTATGTATCTGGTATCCAAAGCTCATGTAAAACTGGGTAGCAGCAAAATCCAACTAAGATTGGTAGACTGTATTAATGTCAATATCCTCGTTGGCATGTGGTACTATAGTTTTACAAGATGCTACCATTGAGGGAAACCAGGTAAAAACATCTCTATATTATTTCCTACAAATGCATGTTATTATCTCCTACAAATGCATCTCTATATTATTTCCTACCAATGCATGTCAATTTAAAATCATTTCAAAATAGAAAGTTTACTTAACAAAGTCAAATTAGAGAAAAAAGAGTAAGTAAATTACAGAACAGGTGGTATTTAGCTGTGGCGAATATCCTGAAGGTGACATATGACTACCTGTAAACTAGGATCTTGGGGCGGTCAGATCCAGAATGTGAGCTCTTAGAAGCCTGCAAATTTGGGTTTGTCTGCCAAGCACTTAAGCACTAGTTTTTTAGGTCTTGGTGTGTGTGTTTTCCTTTCAAGTGAAGGAAGTGGAAATCGGAGCAATTCCACCTAAATCATGTCTGGGAGGAGAGTTTTCCTCAAGTGAATATATGTGATATTAACAGAAGAGGAATTGGTGCTGCGAGGCAAGAAAAGCACCTGAGATCTTTTTGTGGAGAAGCTCAGAATAGGGATTTCTCCAAAATCTAATAATTAAAATAAGGATATAAGGTGCCAATCTCTGCTTCCTTCCAACATTGCATCAGTGGGGATGCTCCTACAGTGTATCATTGTAGGCTTCAGTCATGTTTATATAAGGGAAGAAGAAGAAACCTTTGGGAAATGAACAGCATTACATTGAGAGAGACTTGGGCCAGGGGAGAATTAACCACATTTCAGCTTAGAGGCTGGAGGATGAACTCAACATTTCTATAAACTCTAGAATTCTGATTTGGTCACTATTCATTTTGGTCACACTAAATGGAGATGTTGATGACAAGCTAGGTAGAAGCTCCATCTGGGAGGAAACATTAAATTGGAAATTAACCTTTGCTTCATGTTCTAACATAGCAGATATGCTTATAGCGGTGGTTCCTGTTTTCCAAAGCTTGCATATAATGTGGAAATATTTTCAAAAAATTGCCTAAAGCAGTTTTTAGTATGTATGAATGTATGAGAATAGTCCCCATTATATTTATCCCGACAATTTAAAAATATCTTAATTTGCAAAGAAACTGCTTATTAAAACAAAACAAAAAATTTTCCTGAGCCATAAGATTTCAGTTGGTGAGTAGATTATATGTTTACTATGACTCTTGATGATTAGTACATATTATCAAGCAATACAATTATGCTTAACAAAAAAAATAAAGCTACGGATCATTTCAATAGGTTTCTAATGTTACCTTCTGGTAGGATCACAATCAGATATTTTAACTAATTTTTTAAAGTAGTTTATAAACTTCAGTTTATAATGCCAACCAACCACAGCAATTGCTCATTAACAGAAAATTAGCACCTTGAGAAACATATTGGTCACTAAATACAGAGTACAAAATTCATGAAATTCCCTCCCTCAGTAAAATTAACTAGAAATAATTGTGTTGAAGAGAAGAAAAAGAGGCCACCCTTGCTGCTGAAAATATCACTTTATAAAGTTATTCTCCCCTTCAACTACTTTTATTTTCCTAAGTGAATAAGTGACAGTTATTTTAATCATTCTGCCAAACAAAAGACATTTCTAGGTAAGAAAATGCACTTTAAATGATTTATTTTCATCATCTTATGGCTATGAGAGAAGAATAGTCATATTATTGTGAAATTATCTTCCATGTGATGGAAAACAGGCTCCCTGAAATGGCTAAAAGAAAATAAGTTATATACTCATTCACTTAATAATGATGCTCACTCATTTAAATAATGCAATGTAAACTACAGTGTGATTAAGACCATGAGCTTTGGAGTTAGATAAACCTGGGTTAAAAATTTAGCTCTGCTTTTGATTGTCTGTGTGACCTTGGGTGATTTATTTAAATTCTCTGGGCCTTATTTCTTCATTTTAAAATAGGTGTTATATGACCTATACATAGTATTATTACACAGATTAAATAATATGTCAATAAAACATTTAAATAGTATGTCAAAAAAGCATTTAAAGGCACAGTATTTACTTCATTGTGCTAAATAATGGAAACCAAATGGTGAAGATTTGTTTTTATTAAATTCAGAAGCTCCAATTGCTTGGACACACAGCTTCAATCACAAATTGTTGGCTAAATAACCCATAAATAACAGAGAAAAGCAACATATATTTTAAAGAAAATGTTAGTCTTCTAAAAGTTGAAAGTTTGAAAAAGTCCAAATATTTTAAATGCATTGTATTGTAGCACAATGTTTGTTGAAATGTAGTATGACATTGTATCTGGAATTGGTTACTTCCGGTAGGTTCTTGGTCTTGCTGACTTCAAGAATGAAGCTGTGGCTCCTCCCAGTGAGTGTTACAGTTCTTAAAGATGGTGTGTCCAGAGTTTGTTCCTCCTGGTGGGTTCATGGTCTAGCTGACTTCAGGAGTGAAGCAGCAGACCCTTGCTGTAATGCAGAACCAAAGAGTGAGCAGCAGCCAAGATTTACTGTGAAGAGTGAAAGAACAAAGCTCCCACAGCATGCAAGGGTATCCCAGCGGTTTGCCTCTCCTGGCTCAAGTGGCCAGCTTTTATTCCCTTATTTAGCCCCACCCACATCCTGCTGATTGGTCCATTTTACAGGGTGCTGATTGGTCCGTTTTTACAGAGTGCTGATTGGTGCATTTACAAACCTTTAGCTAGGCACAGAGTGCCGACTGGTGTGTTTACAATCCTTTAGCTAGATAGAAAAGTTCTCCAAGTCTCCACCTGACCCAGAAGCCCAGCCAGTTTCACCTCTCAATATAGTCTATAATTTCATAATATAACAATTCTTAGTTTATATATGTTATATATTTTAATTTGCCCACTATAGATACATATATACATACATATATATGCATGATAAGCCATGCCCTGCCACACACATACACAGGTACAAACACACATACACGGCTAATAATTTTACAGAAATTACATAAGCCTTAAGTCTTAGGATAAGACTATGTAAAGAAATTGGGTCAATTTAAATCAAGTTAGAGAAAAATATTAAGTAAGTTATAGTACAGGTTGTATTTAATGAATTCTAAAAGAGTGTTGACTACTTCAAGCCTCTTAATGTAGAAAAAGATTATAGCAAGGTTTTTAGTAAAGAATAGGCAAAGTTCTTTACCAAGGAATCATCTGTTTTGTACAAATCATCATGAATATAAGAGTCAAAGGGCTGAGGAAGATGGTCACTAACTCTTTAAAGAAATAAGATTGGAACTACCCTTCATTGCTTCTATGTAAATCCAGGAGTGGTGTCTTCTTAGATGTATGATGTTCTTTCCTCTAAAACTATATTTTAAGACTGGAGAATTATAGTATGTCAATAAAAGATCATTTTTCAGAGGCAGCCCTAAGCAGAATTTTGAAATGGATCAAGTTGTCTTTGTCATTGTTCCCTTCTTTTCTAGTAATTCTACTCTCCACTTGAGGCACATTTCTTTTCAGTCTCAGTAGCATGTGCTCTCTTAACTGCTAGTAATTTAGGAAGCAAGATAATTCCCCTTATAATGCCAGCTGTTCAATAGTAACACGTATTTCTCAGGAGTATTATCAAGATTCTTGCTGACCAAAAGAATCTTCAATTCCCAAAGAAAACCATTCCTAGGAGTGCAAATTAGTATTATTATCAGTGCTTATATACATATTTTGGGACAGAGAAATTTTATTAACATTACTGAATCTCTACAACGTAGATATTGTTCATTGATTAAAAACTAGTCTAATACCATCATTTTCATATATTTAGCTTATTTTCCAACTTGAGCAGACAGAACACACACACATACACACAAAATAAATACATAGGTATATATTTCTATGAAAGAAAACAGAGTAAGAGGCCCATGTCTAGCGTTGTCTAGGGCTTGTACCCTTGTTTTAGGATATCTCTTATGCTTGTTTTAGAGTACGTCTTATCCTTGTTTTAAGATATCTCTCAAGTCTTACAGTTGTTTTTAGGGCTTGTAGAGCTGGCAATTGCTCTACAAGCCCTGGAGACAACTCTGTACTGCTTCTGAAATAATGCAATGTAGGAAATTTTTTTTCCTGGGACGTTTCTGGCAGACGTAGAAAGTGGAACTCTGAGGATTTTTTTTTTTCTTGTTGTCTTAGGGGGATAAAGTGATAGTTTAATTTTGGATATAAAAGTTATCAACTGTATCGCTAATCTTTACTTAAATTTTCCATCAAAGCTTCTCCTTTGTGTCTTTTTCTTTATGCTCCCAACACCACACAATATTATTTATTCTGAGGAGAATTTATTCTCACGAGAAAACAGAAAAATCCCTTTGATTTAGTGCCTCTACTTGATTCTTTAGCTAATGCTCCTCTTTGCTTTCACTGCTGCCTTATTCAAAGTGGGCTTCCATGGTTATTACAGTAAATATCACATTATCATTATGAAAACCATCTTGTACATTGTTGAAATCATTTTTCAATCAAGAATTTAATGAGGGAGAAAAATAAAACTTGGGCTACCAGTATGGTCACCTGAAAGGATGCACCATAGGAGCAAGGGAAAACTCAAAATAGATCACTTCATACATTGAAAGCCCAGAATTTAATCACTGCTACCTAAGATTGGATTAATATAATTTTCAGAGGCTGAGGTGGGCAGATCTCTTGAGGTCAGGAGTTTGAGACAAACCTGGCCAATATGGTGAAACCACATCTCTACTAAAAATACAACGATTAGCTGGATGTGGTGGTGTGCGCCTGTAATCCTAGCTACTGGGGAGGCAGAGGCACAAGAATCGCTTGTTCCCAGGAGGTGGAGGTTGCAGTGAGCTGAGATCATGCCACTGCACTCCAGCCTGGGCAACAGAGTGAGACTCTATCTAAAAAAATTAATAAATAAATAATAAAAAATTCTACTCTTTCTGTTAGAGTTAAAAGAAAATCACCTTTAAATCATCCAGAAACTCTAATTATTCATATAATAATATGGCAATCTGTATGATATTATCAAGAAAAACAAGTTATAAAAAGAAGATGACAAAACTAGACAACAGATTAAGGACCAACACACTGGTACACATTTAGAGTTATCAAACACAAACTTAGAAATAACACATACACAAACTTTGGATAGTTGTCCCTGCTCAAATCTCACATTGAAATATAATCCCCAATGCTGGAAGTGGGGCCCTAATGGGAAGTATTTGGGTCATGGGGGTGGTTTCCTCATGAATGGCTTGGCCATCTTTTTGGTGATAAGTCAGCTCTTACTCTGAGTTCTCTGGAGGTCTGGTCATTTAAAAGTGTGTAGCCTCTCTCCCTACCCCTACACACTCTCTCTTGCTCCTGCTTCTGCCATGGAAAGTGCCTGCTCCTGCCTTGCTTTCTGCCAGATTGTAAGCACCCTGAAGCCTCCCCAGAAACTGAGCAGATGCCAGAACCATACTTCCTGTGTATAGCCTGCACAACCATGAACCAGTTAAACCTCTTTTCTTTATAAATTACCCAGTCTTGAGAAATGTCTGTTCATGTCCTTTGCCCACTTTTTAATGGAGTTGTTTGTTTTTTCTCGTACATTTGTTTAACTTCCTTATAAACTCTGGATATTAGACTTTTGTTAGATGGATGCAGCCAAGAAACATATGAAAAAAAGCTCAACATCACCGATCATTAAAGAAGTGCAAATCAAAACCACAATGAACTACCATCTTACACCAGTCAAAATGGTGATTATTAATAAGTCAAGAAACAACATATTCTGGAGAGGCTGTGTGGAAATAGGAACACTTTTATACTATTAGTGGGAATGTAAATTAGTTCAACCATTATGGAAGACAGTGTAAAGATTCCTCAAAGAATTGAACAAGAAATGCCATTTGAGCCAGCAACCCCATTACTGGATATATACCCAAACGAATATAAATCATTCCATTATAAAGATAAGTGCACACATATCAAGTTCATTGCAGCACTATTCACAATAGCAAAGACATGGGAACAACCCAAATGCCCAACAATGATAGACTAGATAAAGAAAATATGGTACATGTATGTCATAGAATACTATACAGCCATTAAAAGGAATGAGATCACATCCTTTGCAGGGACATGGATGGAGCTGGAAGCCATTATCCTCAGCAAACTAATGCAGGGACAGAAAAACAAACACTGCATGTTCTCACTTATACGTGGGAGCTGAGCAATGAGAATACATGAACACAAGGAGGGGAACAACACACACTGGGGTCTGTTGTGGGGCTGGGTTGGGGGAAGGGAGAGCATCAGAAAAGAATAGCTAATGCATGCTGAGCTTAATACCTAGGTGATGGGTTGATAGGTGCAGCAAACCACTATGACACACGTTTACCTATGTAACAAACCTGCATATCCTGCATGTGTAATTTGGAACTTGAAATAAAATAAAATAAAATAAAATAAAATAAAATAATAAAATAATTCAGAATGGCAAAACAAAATTTAAAAAATAAATTACCCAGTCTCAGTCTCAGATATTTATTTATAGCAATGCAAGAAGAGCCTAATACACATGTGATTAATATATTCAAATAGATGATAAGATCAAAAGATGATAAAATATAAAATTTCATCAGAAACCTGGAATCTATAAAGATGATGAAACTGTAAAACAAAAAATATAATAACATAAATTCAGGATTTAATTGGGCAAAATGGTGGACTGGAGGCTTCTAACATGCCTCAGCCAGTTGGAAATAGCAAAATCGTGTGTAAGGATCAACACTGTGAGCTTTAAGAAGGAAAACAGGAATCCACTACAATAGCAAAGAACACAGAAGTCCTATAGAAGTAGGTAGGCAAACAGCTCCTGTGACAGCATCTGGCTGATAAAAATTAATGAAGCCCCAGAATGTAAGACGGGCAGAGTTTCCCTCTCTGTGACCCACCTTTCCCCCGGCGTTCTGTGCAATGCAGGCCATGGGAGAACTCTTCTTTTCTTTCAAGCTCTGGCACAAACTTGGGGAGAGGCTTGAAGACAATGAGCGGGAAGAATACCAGAAAAATCTACAGGCATTTTCCCACACCTGGGTCTGGCAGCAGGATACCATTTTTAATCCAGGTTTATACAAATAAGTCATTCTTTGGCAATCTGGCAGCATGGCCACACAGGCATTTTAGTCTCAAGACAGAGATTGGAACACTGGGGCTCTGAAGTAGGGTGGGGGTCTAAACAGCCAGAATTGTGTGACAAGTGTGGAAGGTGCCCCAGCAATAGGTCCTGAACGTGCTCTTCCCTGTTGCAGGTCTGGGGCAGGAGGAAGGCTACAGTAGCCGCGGTTTCTCCTGGGTGAAACAAGGCAGAAAACTGACAAATAAATTATTGTCTTAAATTAGACACTTGATTAGGCCTAATAGATATCTACAGACTAGTCCACCCAGCAACCACAGATTATGCATTCTTCTCATCAGCACACAGAACATACTGTAAGATCAACCACATTCTTGGCCCCAAAGCAAGTCATGATAAATTCAAAAATTTAAAATCATACCAACATACTCTCTGACTGCAGTGAGATAAAAATAGAAATCAACAACAAGAAGATCTTTTAAAACCATACAATTACATGGAAATTAAACAACTGGCTTCTGAATAACTTTTTAGTAAACAATGAAATTTAGGCTGAAATTTAAAAAATCCTTGTAATTAATGAAAACAGAGACATCACATAACAAAATATCTGAGATGCAGCAAAAGCAGTGTTAAGAGGAAAGTGTATAGTGCTAAATGCCTACATCAATAATATAGAAAGATCTCAAATAGACGATCCAAAAACACACCTAGAGGAACTAGAAAAATAAGAACAAATTAACAACAAAACTAGCTGAAGAAAATAAATAACTAAAATCAGAGAAGTGGATAAAATTGAGAACTAGAAATCTATACAAAGGATCAATGTAGCCAAAAGTTGGTTATTTGAAAGAATAAACAAGATCAATAGACCACTAGCTAGATTAACAAAGAAAAAAAGAGAGCACATAAAAAATGACAAAGGGGACATTATAACTGATCCTACAGAAATACAAATGATTATCAAAGACTATTACCAACACCTCTATGCACACAAACTAGAAAATATAGAAGAAATTGATTAATTTTTGGAAACACACAATCTCTCAAGATTAAAAAAGGAAGAAATTGAAACCCAGAACAGATCAGTATCATGTTCCAAAATTGAATCAGTAATAAAGAACTTACCAACTAACCTGGACCAGATGGATTCACAACCAAATTTTAACAGAAAAGCTGGTATCAATTCTACTTAAACTATTCCAAAAAAAAAAAAAATGGAGGAGGGAATCCAGCCATCAGGAGGAGGGATGATGCTATGAAGCCATCTTCATACCAGAACCTGGAAAAGACACAATAGAAAAAGAAAACTATAGGCCAACATCCCTGATGAACATGGATGCAAAAATCCCTACACAACAAAAGTTAATTCATCAGGATCAAGAAGACTTTATTCTAGAATGCAAGGTTGATTCAACATATGCAAATAAATAAATGTGTTCATGACATAAACAGAATTAAAAACAAAAACCTTATGATAGCCTTGATAGATGCTGAGCAACCTTTTGTTAAAATTCAACATCCCTTCATGATAAAAACCCTCAGTAAACTAAGCATCAAAGGAAGATACCTCAAAATAGTAAAAGCCATTTATGGAAAACCCACAGCCAATGTCATCCTGAATGAGGAAATGCTGGAAGCATTCCCCTTAAGAACAGGATGTTCCCTCTCACCACTCCTATTCAACATAGTACTGGAAGTCTTAGCAAGAGCAATCAGGCAAGAGAAAAAAAATAAAAGGCATCTGAATAGAAAAAGAAGTGAAATTATCTCTCTTCACTGACGATATGATTATAGACCTAAAAAAACCTTAAAGACTCTGCCAAAAGGCTCCTAGAACTGATGAACAACTTCAATAAAGTTTCATAATGCAAAATCTATGCAGAAAAATCAGAAGAATTTCTGTACACCAATAGTGTTCAAGCTGAGAGCCAAATCAAGAATGCAATCCCATTTACAATAGCCATACACACACACACACACACACAAATACCTAGGAATATATCTAACCAAAAAGTGAAAGACCACTACAGGAAGAACTACAAAACACTGCTGAAAGAAACTATAGATGACACAAACAAATAGAAAAACAGTCCATGCTCATGATTGGAAGAAGCAATATCATTAAAATGGCCATACTGCCCCAAAAAGTCTGTAGTTTCATCACTATCCCTATTAAACTCCAGCATTATTTTTCACAGACTTAAAAAGAATTTCTAAAATTCATATGGAGCCAAAAAAGAGTCTGAATAGCCAAATATATCCTAAGCAAAAGGAGTAAACCTGGAGGCATCACATTACCTGACCTCAAATTATACTATATGGCCACAGTAACCAAAACAGTATGGTACTGGTTCAAAACAGACACATAGACCAATGGAACATAATAGAGAACCCCAAAATAAAGCCATACACCTGCAACTATCTGATCATCAACAAGGTAAACAAAAATACACAATGGGGAAAGGACTCTTCATTCAATAAATGGTGCTAAGATAACTGGCTAGCCACATGCAGAAGAATGACACAGGGGCCCCAGCTTTCACCATATACAAAAATTAATTCAAGATAGGTTAAAACTTTAAATGTAAGACCTCAACCTTTAAAACCCTAGAAAAAACCTAGAAAATACTCTTCTTGATTTCACTCTTGGCAAAGTACTTATTCGAAGACCTCAGAAGCAATTGCAACAAAAACAAAAATTAACAAGTGGGACTTAACTAAAGAGCTTCTGTGCAGCAAGAGAAACTGTTAACAGAGTAAGCAGACAACATACAGAATGAAAGAAAATATTCATAAACTATGCAACTGACAAAGGTTTAATATCCAGAAACTTTAAGAAATTTAAACAACACAACAAGCAAAAACAAATAGCCCCATTAAAAAATGGCCAAAGGACATGAACAGAGATTTCTCAAAAGAAGACACACAAGCGGCCCACAAACATATGAAAAAATGCTCATCATCGCTAATCATTACAGAAATGCAAATCAAAATGACAATGGGATACTATCTCACACCAATCAGAATGACTATTATTAAAAAGTCAAAAAAAAAAAAAAGTTGCCGGCAATGCTGTGGAGAGAAGGGAACGCTTGTACACCACTTACTTATACACCACTGGTGGGGATGTAAATCGTTTCATCCACTATGGAAAGTGGCTTGGAGGTTGCTCAAATAACTTAGAACAGAACTATCATTTGACCCAGGAAGCTGATCACTAGGTATATTCCTAAAGGAAAAGAAATTGTTCTATAAAAAAGACACATGTACTCATTTGTTCATTGCAGCACTATTCACTAGACAATGTGTTACATATTCTCCATGGAATACTATGCAGCCAAAAAAAGAATAAAATCATGTCCTTTGCTGCAAAATGAATGCAGCTGGAGGCCATTATCCTAAGTGAATTAACACTGGAACATAAAACCAAATACTGCATTTTTTTACTTATAAGTGGGAGCTAAACATTGGATACACACAGACATAAAGATGAAATAATAGACACTAGGGACCACTAGATGAAGGAGAGAGGGTGTGGAGCAGGGGCTGAAAAATACCTGTTGGCTACTATGATCACTATCTGAGTGGAAGGATCATTTATACTCCAAATCTCAGCATTACACATAAGCCCATGTAACAAATCTGCACATGTATTCCCTAAATCTAAAAAAAAGTTGAAATTATTTTAAAAAAAGATTTAATAGATATTTATCAGCTTGTTAGTCATAGGCTACTAAACTGAAAAATAGGTCAATAGAAAATATTCACACTGAAGGATGAATAGAAAACAATAAAAATTCATTAAAAAGAGTCTAAGTCATTTATGAAATTTCATGAAAATGTCTAAGATACATGTCAAAAATTTCAGAAAGAGAAAGGATAGGACAGATAAATAACTTAAAGTGATAATGACATAACATTTTCCAAAACTGGCAGTATTTTTTAAAAGAACCTATATTTGAGAGCATTAGGGTAAAATTGTTTAAAAGCAAAGACAAAAAAAAAAGATCTTCAATGTAGCCTGAGAATTATTGAATTATTTTCAAGAGAAACAGCAAGAATGGCAGATGACCTATCAATGAACAAGAGAGTCCAGAAAATAGTGAAATATCTTTAGACTGTGGAAAAAAAAACTACAAATCTTAAACTCTTCCAATACACACAAACACATAAATAAAAGTGAATGAAGTTGATATTTGTTTGAAGGTGGAAACTGATGAAGAGTTGTGACCATCTAACATGTTTTCCACTTCAATTTTGGAGTGGATGGTGAAAAGAGTTCTAGAATTCAAAAGGATAGGAAGAGGAAAAAACTGAAAAGCAAATTATTTGACACCAGCGTATATAAACATGCTTACAGAAAGAGACCTAAGATGGATGTTGGAACTATCCATATGCATGTGGCAATGAAATCCATTAGATTTAATGAAAATCACATTAATTAAAAGAATCCAATACTAGAAATATTTAAAGAGTAGAAGAAGTTTAAAATTGACTGAAAGGAGTGGGTAGAGAGGAAGTCACTGATAGTTATATATATACATATATACAAGACATATATATATATACACACATATATATGACATATATATATACAAATATATATATGACATATATATACATATATATGACATATATATACACATATATATATACGACATATATATGAGAGAGAGAGATTTGTTTTATGGAATTGGCTTATACAATCTTGAAGGATGGCAAGTCCACAATCTGCATGGTCAGCCAACAAGCTGGAGACCTAGGGAAAAGCCAACATTGCAGTTTCAGTCCAAAGACAGTCTGCTGGCAGAATTCCCTTTCTTTCTTGAGAGGTCAGTCTTGTTTTTATTATAGCCTTCACCCGATTGGATTAGGTATGCTCATATTATGGAGGATAATCTGCTTTACTCAGTCTACTGATTTAATGTTTATCTCATCTAAAAAACATACCTTCACAGAAACATCTGTAATAATATTTGATCAAATACCTGGGTATACATGGCCTAGATAAGTTGACACATAGAGTCAACCACCATGAGGATCAAAGCCAGAATGCCTTGGTTTGAATAATATTGGTGAAGTGGAAAGGAAGTTCTAACAATTCTTGCAGAAGGTTTGGGAGGAGCAAGCAGGAACTAGAGGATTCTAAGGCAATTGTGTGTAGGGGTGGTGTGTTGTTTAGAATAGGAAAGACTTGGCATATTTTGTATTCTGGGGGGAATATTCAGTAAAGAGAAAAATGGATGATGTAGAAGGGTATGTATATCTAGACCAGATCTCTTAGGCAGGAGAGAGACCCTAGCCTGGTGTGAGAATTTGCACAGAAAGTCAGCACAATTCTTCATAGCCAAGATATATATTTTCAGTTTTTTAACACAAAGACAATATATTTCATCAGTGGTGTGCTAATTTTTCCATATGTTAACTTCGTTAGCTATATAAGACATTCAATTATGTTTAGAGATAGAGAAAAATAACAAAACCGCATTTTATTAATATTTTAAAGCAGTTAGATAGTCTTCTATCAAGATTATATTGAGAAGCTCAGGTAAGCCTTCTTGATAAAAACATTTTAAGCTATTCTTAGAAATTCATAGAAGTTATCCCAGCAGGGAGAAGAGAATGTACGATATGGGGAAGATTCAATACATCCAGTTCATAGGATAATGATAACTTCTGAGTCCAAAAAAGAGTTTTGTTTAGCTGTGTTAAAAGGAAAACTAATACCATCAAAATATTAATGTAAATTAAAATGTTCATAAATAAAAACAGCAAGGTCTTGTATTTTGTATGTCTTTCTTCACAAATAAAATTTAGAATTCTGTTTATCATAGATATAAACACATATATTTCTAACACACTTCTTTTCATTACAAATGTTAAAAGTTTTCAGGCATTTTGTTCAATAATTGCTTATTGAGCTTTTACTATGGATCTAGGAATTATGGTATTCAAAAGATAGTTTATACAATGCAAAAAGATCTGGCATAATTTTAGACCTTAAGGAACTTACAATACTATTGAAAATGTGAAGCTTACACACATTATATGTTATTATATTAAATCCAAATATATTTTGATAAGTTTTAAGAAAGTTATAAAAATTTAAAAAAAGAAAAACTTTCCTCAAGAATGTGCCATCTAAGAGAAAAGACAAATCTGTAAGTTTCAATTCCTGGTTGAAGGAAGACTAGAACATAAAGAAAGTACTAATTGAGCTCTGTGGCATTTAAGGGAAGGAAAGTCACTTCTCAGGGAATATAGGGGAGGTCTTATAAGGAAAAATGTCATTTTAAATGAACCTCAAGGATTCTGTAGAATGTCAAAGGTTGGGGTGTTGCAGATGGTAATAAGAGAATTCCATCATTTTATCTAGAGAGACCAGGTTAAGTAAAGACATGGAGCTCAAAAAACATAGACTTAAAAGGTAACCTAGAATTGCTCAGTGGCAAATCTGTCTTCTCTCTGAAGGAATAGTGAAAACTAAAATTGGAAATTTATTTGGACTTGTATCATCAAGAATATCAATGCCAAAAAGAGACTCTTTATCTTAATTTGACAAGCAATTGGTTAGTTTTCAAATGCTTTTTAATGCAGAAAATGGTGAATTTAAGTTAGTTAATGACTTGTCAGGAGGATGTTGTAGTAGTTTATACAGGAAAGCATTTGGTCCTAATTTAGAGTTGTGGAAAGAGAAAGGGGGATGGAAAGACTTTATAAAAATCTATACCAGGATCCCTAGAACTTGAATTTTATAAGACATGAATACTTTTTTTTAAATGGGGGGCTACCATAGGGCTACCAACATTCTATTTGACTAAGAAGGGATATTTTAAAAGCACATTCTGATATAACTTAATGGCTTTTTCTGCGGTCAGTATTGTCCACTCCGGAGTGTTTGGAAGATCCTTACTAACTGGGTCATCAAGCATGACTCAGTGATATAGTTTGGTTCCGTGTCCCCACCCAAATCTCATCTGAAATTGTAATCTCCTCATGTTAGGGAGGGAGCTGATGGGAGGTCATTGGATCATGGGGGCGGTTTCCCCAGCTGATCTCATGATAGTGAGTCTCGTGAGATCCAATGGAATTGTAAGCACCTGGCATTTCCCCTGCTTCTACTTACTCCGTCCTGCTGCCCTGTGAAGAAGGTGCTTGCTTCTCCTTTGCTTTCCACCATGATTGTAAGTTTTCTGAGGCCTCCCCAGCAATGTGGAACTGTGAGTCAATTAAACCTATTTTCTTTATAAATTACCCAGTCTCAGGCAGTTCTTTATAGCAGCGTGAAAACAGACTAATACACTTACCTTGTGGATATTTATTCAATCCATAAATATGTATTATGTACCTACTATGTATACTATACTCTTTTAGGCTCTGGAATACTGCAATAAACAAAACAGAGTCACTGTTATTTTAAGTTTATACTGTTGGTAAGATGAGACAAATGATTTAAAAAAAAAAAAAACAAATGTAAATAGGCTATGAAGAAAAGTAAAAGCTTTGAATTTCATTCTGAGGTAGACAAGAAGTCTCTGGAGGTTCCTAAGTGTTCTAAAAGGATTGCTCTGGCTAATGTGTAGAATTTTCATCTGCACTAGTAGAAAAGGGGAGACTAGTTGGGACAAGAGGTGAATTAATCCAGGTGAGAGTTGATGGTGGCATAGAATGGAGAAGTAGCACTGGAATTGATGAGGAATTCCAGATATATTTCCAAAGTAGATTTGACAAGGTTTGCCAATGGGTTGAACATGAGGGTGAGAGGAAGAGGAGAACGAAGTTTTCCACTTTGGCTGTGTATTGAATATAGATGGCGGTAGCATACACCCCTTGTTGTGACACTTGGAAGTATCTTCAGACATTGTCAAATGTCCTGTGGGAGACAAAATTATTCCCCAGAACCACTATTTTAGACTAAAGAAGGAAGATATTTGAAAGACAATTGTCAAGAATTTATTTTAACTTAAGCTAATTTGGGACAAGTATTGCATATCTTAAAGGAAAATCAAGTATAAATTTGGAGATAAAAATATATAGCTTAGGAGGCAAGTCAGGGTTGAAGACATGAATGTGAGAGTCATCCATATATAAATGATATCAAAATCCCAAGAATGAAGGAGCATAAGTTCAGTTAGAGAACAGAAGACAGCTGAGAACTAAGCCTGGAGCATGACATGTTTAGTTGTGAAGAAGATGGATTCGATCCACATGGAACAATTGAAAGTAAACAAGAACACTCTTCCAGAAGGCAAGACAAGACAATGTTTAATACAAGAAGGAGAGAGTATTTCAAATGTTGCTGAAAAATCAAGAAAAATGAAGGCTGGAATTTGAATTTATTGATCTATTACTATGGAGGTTATTGATGACCTTGACACTAGCAATTTTTGTTGAGAGGTGGAGATGAAAATCTGGAACAAATTCAAGAAACAACTGCCATGAATAAGTGGAGACTGCAAAAACCAAGAGTACTTAACAAGAGATCTGCTCTAGAAGAGAGCAGAGAATTCAGGAGTAGCTAGAAAGGAATGTGAGGTCAAAGGAAGTTTTCTGTTCTCTTTTGAAGGTGGGGAAAACAACAGTATATGTTTTCGTTGATATGAATGATCCAATGAGAAGAAAAGAAAGTGATACAAGAAGAAGGGAAAACTGGAGTGAAGTCCTTGACTAAGGCATTACATGCCAAGATGAAAGCACACAAAGAAAGATGTTAAGAGCATAAATGGTCTGATCTGGGTACACAGGATTGAGGAGTGCCATATTTTCAAGCTCCTGGAGCAAAAGCGAGGGTCATATAGGCCACCCCAGCTTAACACTTGAGTTTCCTTCCAAAATTGTCAGCTCTTAGCTTAGAGCAGCAGCAGATATTTTCTACAACACCCTGTCAGTCAAACAGGCCATGGTGAGCATGCCTTCTTACACTGACTAAGGAATAAATGTGGGCATCTCAGTTGGCACTAGGATGGATATTAATATTCCCTTGGCAATATCATTTACTTATATAAGTTCAGCTATCATTTACATGCATAAATAACTCCTTGCTTGCTTCACATTAATATATAATTTTGGAAATACGTTTACTATGTAAAACAAAGTCCACATGTGTTAAACTCCCTATTTCTTAATCCCAAATCTGTCCTGTTTTATGTAGTCAAAAATATTTTTTCTGGTTAGTTCCGGTGTAGTACTTGCAAAAGGTAAAAATTGAATTATTATGACCTTGAAAAAAATAAAAAGCAGAAATGTATTTGGGTCTATTTTGCAGCTAGATTATTTTTTTGCTTGCATCTACATTTAAAAATACACCAACTAGCAGTGTAAAATTTTTAATGATTATAAAAGATAATGTCTTAGAAAGAAATTTATAAAATAATTTTACAAGTTTGTTAATAACAAATTGAACAATTGTGGGAGTTATTTACTCTTGTAGGTTCTCACTGCTTCTGCAGATGGTAGGAGAGATTGTCTTTGATGATATTAACACATTTAGTAAGAAGGAGTTTACCAAGTGCATACTGTTAATTTTATTACGTGGTTCAGCTTCATTTGATTGTACTTCTTCCCCAAGAATCGTTTGTTGAAATGATTCCCTACAGCTATGAACAATTCAGATTCTAAAATCTTATAATGCATTTGCTTGTAATTACAAAGTTAAATTTTTGGTACTCTTGAACCTTTAGAATATTTACTATGTGTAACCAATATATTTCAGTTCTACTCTTGAATTCATTTGGTATGTTCCTTACTAAAGGCCAGCAATGTAATACTAATTGGATCAAATTCCCTTAAGCACATTCTCATCTTCTGATGTACAACAAAATAAAATAGCTTCCACTGTAAACACAGTAGAAGCCTAAAAAATGAAATAAGGACAATATCATTGAATATTCCTAACATGATGGACTGATCTTTCTGCAGAAGTGCTTCCTGTGACTTTTTTTGTCTTTGCTCATGTGGATTTATCTGATCATTTTAACTAAAGCATTCATTATTTTAAAAGAAGATTTTTTTTCTTTTTTGTTCCTTTATTTTATAACCCTACAATAATAAATTATAAGCTGTCTATAATTGTCTACTTATGAAAATGCTTGTAACTATACCTGGAAAAAGCACAATACTAATGTCCAGAATTTAATGCATCCACTAAGTACAATAGGAATTTCCCTTCCTGATAGTGTTTGTGAAATAAAGCAGTTAGGAACAAATTGTGGCTTCATTTCCTTTGAAAATATTTCAAAGGAATATTGTTACTAGAGAGTAGCTCTTTTTTCATGCTTTCTGTGTGGGAGGCAGAAAAGAGGCTCTGCATACAATATCATACTGCCTCATTCTCCTCAGCACCACAGCTTTCCCTGCTCCCTGCTCTCCTTGCCAAAGATCCAACTCTATTACCTTAACCAAAACTATCAACCTTTGAAATATGTAAATTGTATATATACAATGTAATTTATATATATATATCTTCTATGTATATATAGTAACATACATACATAATTTTCCGATATAACACTTGAATTTGATAAGACCATCCACCACTGTAACTCTAAAACATAGAAATTGTACAAAAGTATATGGTTGAAGCATTTAGTGCTAAAACAGAGTGTACACTCATTCACTCATATCTGTGAGCCATCTCTGAAAAAGAAAAATCATCTTACAATGAGAAACTGCTATCCTATGTAATTTATATTCATTATTCCAGTTAGTCCTCACAATAAAACTAGTAGTTATATATAATCACATTTTGTATATAATGAAAGTAAGGCTCAGAATGTTAACAATTCATCAAAGATCAAACTGCCTAGTTGGCAAGTTATAATTTTAACCCAGGCCTATCTTCCTGAGAATTCACAAGGTTTCCATTTATTAATCCATTCAACAAATATGTATTGATCATCCATTATGTGTCCTCAGTGTGTTAAGTGCTCAAATATATAAATGAATAAGAGATACAATCCAGGTTCTCATGGAGTTATAGTCTACAAGGATAAAAATGTATTGAAAAAGATACATATAACTTATAATCTTGATGGAATCACTTAAAATTTTCAAAGTAATAGCACAAGGAAAAATCCTGACTGCAAATATATTTATTTATTCTGCATACTGTTGGCCTGGAGAGAGTTTTTATTATTAGAATTAATTAGAACATTTGTAAATCAGAATATTTTATACTCAGACACTGTGTCAGTCAGTTAGAACTACTAAAACAGAATATTTAAGCAGCAGAAATTTATTTTTTGCAGTCTGGAGGCTGGAAGATCCAAGATCAAGGTGCTGGCAGATATGGTGTATAATAAGGGCACTCTTCCTGGTTTGCAAATGGTCGTTTTCTCCTTGTATCCTCATGTAGCAGAAAGAGAGCGAGCTCTCTGAGATCCCTTTTATAAAGGCACAAATATTAATGAGGGCTGCACCCTCATTACCTAATTAACTCCGCAAATCCACATCTTCAAATACCATCACATCAGGGAATCGGGCTTCAAGATATGCATAATAGACACACACATGTACATACACACACGTAATAGACACACACTGCATAACAGACACACACTGCATAATAGACAAACACACGTACATACACACACATGCGCGAGCATGCAAACACACACACACACACACAAACATCTGGATTCCTGGCTGATCTGAAAAAATTAGAAAAAGCTGCTGGGCCATAATTCTGCAAGGCAATGATTGATTAGAATTGAGGAGATTTGGATTACTTTAATGGCCAGAAGCCTTTGAAATCACCACATTTACTACCACTCTTTACTGTCACTTTATTCATTAACAAAACCTGCCAGTCACTGTAGGCATCTGAGCTTGTGATACCTGATTTGATTACAGTTTCAGCAAGGGTTAGAATGAGGAAAGATGAACTAAAATGAGATTATATATCCAAGGGAGTTAAGCAAAATTCTAAGATCTCCTCCAAAGAGTTATACTCCTATAAGCCCCCTCTCTTGAGTTTGAGTAGGACCTGTGAATATGATCGAATGTTATTCCCTTGATCAGGTTAGGTTATAAGGCAAAAGTAAGGGGATTTTGCAGATGTAATGAAAATCCTAATCAGTTGACTTTAAATGACTCAAAAGGGAGTTTTTCCTGAGTGAGCCTGTACTAGTCAGGTCAGCATTTTCAAGGAGGATCTAGAATTCAGACTTGAAGGAGCAGAAATAGTCTCCTGCTGGCCTTGAAGAAGCAAACTGCCATGCTGTGGAGAGACCCATGTGGCAGGGAATGTTGGTGATTTCTAGGAGCTGAAGTTCTCAATCCTATGGTCACAAGGAACTGAATTCTGCATACAACCATTGAACTTGGAAATGTACCTAAAGCTTAGATGAGATCATATCCCAGGCTTTTATCTTAATTGCAACCTCGTGAGCCCCTAAGCAGAACACTCAACTAAATTATGCCTAGACTCCTCCTGACTCTTGAAAACTATGGTTTTAAGTTGCTAAATTTGTGGTGATTTATTAGATGGCAATAGAAAACCCATAGATATTTTCTAAGCACACAGATGAGGAAAATGTTAAGAATGAGAAGTAGTTTGTGACAGTCACTATGGCAGAGATTGGGTGGGTAGCAGTAAAAGTGTGCAAGAAGGAGAGCACAGACAGGAGCTGCTGGGGCCCAGAATGGAGGATCTACACTCCACATTTTATATCTAATCCCAAAACATTAGGAAGACTTCTTTGGAAGGATTTTAATTTTAGGATTGGTACACTCAGTCTTGTACTTCAAAAGAATGTGTCAAATACGAAAAACCAAATAAAAGATTATTGAGATAGTCCATAAAGCTAGGATTAAGGAAGAGGACATAGAAAAGTAAGTGGATTTGAGAACTATTTAGCAGGCAGAATCAACATGACTTGGTAACTGGATGCTGTGTAGATAGGTGTAAGAGCTAAAATTGAGACACTGTGCTTCTATCTCTAAATTAAATCCAAGTCAATGAGTTTCTGTTTCTGGAAGAGTAACTATAAACTTTTTCTTCTTCCAGTAGGTGTCATCTGAAAAGCCTGTTAAACATTAAAATTTCAGTATTTTCTGTATGGAGTAACTATTGCTTATTAAGGTTTTAAGGGGCAAACAAGGATATAGAGATAATGATGTTTATCTTAGGTTCCCACAGGCACCATTTACACCTAAACTTGAAAGATTCTTCATCATTGGAAATGAAAATGGGCCATTGAGAGGCTAATGACCTTCTCCCTAAACCTGATATTGTTTTTCAAGCACATATACATTTTGTCAAGTATTGGTAATTTATTGTCCTTTACTCCATTATATGCTGGCCCCACTCTTCAACTATTTGACTTTTCTGCCATGTTAAAGAAAGAGAAGGCTTTCTTTATTATCTACCTATATTTACTTGCTAAAACCATCCAGGCCTTGGCTATAGAAGAGTTCCTTATCTGACTTTAAATAATTAAATTTATTTCTTTTTCTCATTCTCTTGCGTTAGATTTAACAAACATTTGGAGGATCTTCTAAGTATATGACATTGAGAATACTGTGGTAGGCTAAAGTGCCTGCCTACCAAAAGCTTGCAATTTGATGTAGAAAAAGTTAAGCAACTTTAATACAATGGGAAAATTGGTATAATGAAAATACATGTGAGATAACATTGAGACACATAAGGGAAGAACTAACCCAAGTTCATAATGTTCAAGGAAGTCTTCCTGGAGCAGATTATATATGAGCTGAAAGAATAAATAGGAATCAAATAGGAATCATCCAGTAAAAAAGGTTATTAAATGAAAGACTATTTTAAGTATTTATCAGAATATGAAAAAGCACAGAAAGAAGAAATTATGGTGAAATCAGTCTCCTGAAACTCATGCTGAAAAAGGAAGCCGGGGGTTCCCACATGGCAGTGCTGAAGAATGAGGCTTGTCTGGTAAGCAGGATCCTTCTTATGAGTGTCATTTTGTGCTTTGAAAGAATCTTGATGTTACTATCATTAAGGCCAGAAAGAGTACCAACTCTGACTCCTTGTGTCTAGATTTGCCAGCCTCAAGAGGCAAAGGACAGAACAATGACCTTTCAATGCTCATTTTCATTCCTGAAGATAAAATTACTCTCCTGATTTTCCATTCTCCCATGTTCTGTCTTCTACTTTGATGGCGCTGCCTGATAAATGCACTTCTGATTAAAATATGGCCTTATGAAAAGCAGGTTTTACATACAAGAAAAATGCAGAATAATTTAATAAAAGATAAATAAATGGATAGAGGTGGTTTATCTATATCTGAACTCAGATCCTGTCAGATTCTTTTTTAAAGGCCTCTGCTGGTATTCCACCTTCTAGAGCAAAAAAGGCAACAATGTTACTCCCCACCTCCCCACTCCCACTTACAACCTGCCCCACTTACCCCGCAACCTACTTGCAATGTGCCTTTCTAGTTTTGCCTCCACACTGTCCTCACAAAACCTCACTCTACAGCCATGCCTGATGTGTCACCATTCCTAAACTATACCACAAACAGGCCCTCTGCTATGATTTTGCCCATATTCTTCCCCAGGCTTAGAATGCATTACTTCACTAGTCTACCTGAAAAATGATTTTCTCAGGCTTTAAAATCTATCACAGTATCATCTCTGTTCTGGTCCATTTTGTGTTGCTGTAAAGGAATACCTGAGACTGAGTAATTTATAAGGAAAACAGGTTTATTCGGCTCACGGTTCTGCAGGCTGCACAGGCTGTACACTGCAATCTGCTCAGCTTCTGGTGAAGCTTTAGGAAGCTTTTGGTCAAATCAGAAGGGAAGGGAAGGAAGTGTGTTAGATGGTCAGAGAGGGAGCAAGAGAGAGTGGGGAGGTACTGGGTCTTTAAACAACCAGCTTTCAAGTGAACTCATTGCCACGGAGAGGGCACCAAGACATTTAAGAGCCATCTGCCCCAGTGATCCAAATACCTCCCAGCAGCCCCCTCCACCAACATTTAGGATCACACATCAACTTGAGATTTGGAGGGGACACACATTTAGACCTTATCAAGCTCCTAGCTTCAGCTTTCTGTAATTCTATTTTCATTCCTAACTCTACTTTCAGTCAGGAAAAAATTATTCTTTCATTATTCTTTTCATCATACTTTCTAATTCTACTATTTCTCATGCCACATTACACTGACAGGTGTTTGTGCTTCTGTCTCCCTTATTGGGTTGTAAGGCCCTCACAAGTAAAAGCTCCTTCTTATTCATACTCCTATCCCAGCAACCAGATGGAGACCACCAAATATTACATGCCCAATATATGTTTGTTCAGTGCTGGATTGACTTGAAATTAATCTTGTCACAAGAGAAGCAGTGAATTGGGCTCCCCATGCCCATTGGTTTTATTTGTTTACATATACTACAGAGCAATCAATCAACATTGATTTATAATTCTCCCCTGGGAATTATAAAGTGATTTTTGAAAGTATGGGGTAGTGTGGGGTGATGGTGGTGAACTTGGGTTGTACTTGTAAACAAGAGCCTGTAAGAAAACCTGATGCCTTAATAACTGAGGTGTGGTATTTTCCTTGCATCTATCTGGTGGCTATGTGCCTAATTTCTTTCTAAACATAGATCCTGAGTCTAACAGTGCCATCTATATTTCAAATCCTGAGTCTGTGGTGTTTTTTTCCCCCTCAGGTTTGGGAATACATTGGCGACTATGTCAATGAAGTCAGTGAGCATTGCTCATATTCTTAATGTGAGCCCTGAATATGACACCAGACCTGTGTCACTATGAGAACTAAAAGGAAAGTAAGACTAAAGACTCACTACAATAAACTGCCAGAATTTCCCCTTATCTGCATTTCACTGAAATGAAAAACTGTGCCCCTAGCAAAAATCCATTTCCAGCATGGCAAAGGCATAGGCTCAGCAGCTTCTCTCTATAATACTTTAGTAATGAAGCCCTTCTAGCTGGGAATCACATCCTGTCTGTCTGACTTTCACTTAGGAAAACATGTTTATCAACTCAAAGATGAATCATTGTGGCATTTATGTGAAATGGACAAGCCAGGGCTACATAGTTATTTTCCACTGCTATGGCAGCCTTTCTCTTCTATTTACAGCTGAATCTCAGCCCACTCCTGCTGAATAGAAAGTCTGGGCTCCTTCCAGACCTCCCAAATCTGATTATGGAGTCCTCCAAGGATATATCTGATTGGTATACACTACCTTGAGGGCCAGCTCCAGCTCAGGGAGAGTCTTGCTTCTCTGGTCTAATTTGTGTGTCATGGAGATGTCAGCCACACTGAGTCATGAGCAAACATGAGTTGAAGTACAAGGTGTCCTGAAACTACGCAGGGCAAAGCAGAGTCAGACTTCAGCTTTGCTGTCTTCTGACTCCTGATAATATACAAGAGATTTCAATTATAATGCTTCACGTTGACTTCTGTAATTTCTTAAAAGAAATATCTGTCTTTTGTGGAGCAGTATGTTGCAGTGGTTAAAGATGCTGCTGTGATCTGAATGTTTATGTGTCCTCAAAATTTGTATGTTCAAATCCTCACCCCTAAGATGATGGTATTAGAAACTGGGGTCTTTGGGAGGTTATTAAGTCATGTGGGCAGAGAACTCATGAATGGGATTAGGGCCTTTATAGAAGAGGCCTTAGAGAGACTCCTCTATGGATTGCCATGTAAAGTTAGAGTGAGAGGAGCTGTCTATGAGAAAGCTTGCCATCATCAGTGACTGAATATGCTGGTGCCTTGATTTTGGAATTCTCAACCTCCAGAACTGTGAGAAATAAATTGCTGTTGTTTATAAGACACCCCATCTGTTGTATTTTGTTATGGCATTCCAAATGGACTAAGACAAAGTCCTAGGTTTATCAATCAGAAAGAATTGGATTCAGATCCTGGCACTGTCCTTGAGCAGATTAATTGATGTCACTAAATGGCAGTTTTCTCATCTGAGAATTTTGGCTAATCTTAGTATCCACTCTATAGGGTGGTTTTAAAGATTAAATTGAATAAAATATATAAAAGGCAGAGCATAGACCCAAGTGTAATATAAGGGCTCAAAAACTGGTAGATATCATTATGAGTGTTATATTAAATGTCTTATTTCCATAGTAATCCAATGTTCTTTTAGCTGTCACTATCTTCATTCATTCTTCTTGTTTAGTCATTCCCTTAAGTTTAACTGTCTTCAGCAGGCCCCTTTATCTCAAATCTTCTCTTTCTGTTTGAAACAATCCATTTATCCAAAAGGAATAAAGAAAAAATTTTCTCATGTCTGAGAAGAAGCAGTAATGGGTAACAGTAACATTATTTTTTAAAACTCAAAAACTAGGCCGGGCACGGTGGCTCACGCCTGTAATCCCAGCACTTTGGGAGGCCGAGGTGGATGGATCACAAGTCAGGAGATCGAGACCATCCTGGCTAACACAGTGAAACCCTGTCTCTATTAAAAACACAAAAAAAATAAGCCAGGCGTGGTGGCGGGTGCCTGTAGTCCCAGCTACTCGGGAGGCTGAGGTAGGAGAATGGTGTGAACTGAACCCGGGAGGCGGAACTTGCAGTGAGCTGAGATTGCGCCACTGCACTCCAGCCTGGGTGACAGGGTGAAAGTCTATCTAAAAAAAAAAAAAAAAAAAAAAAACACACTCAAAGACTAACATATCATTAAAATGGAACCCAAAGCCCATTTAAGACCTGGTTGTGCTGTTTGTTTCTGTTTATTTGTTTGTTTGTTTTTTCCTACAGTTTCTAATTATTAACAACAGAAATGGACTTAAATTAGGCAGCTGGGCACTAAACCTTGGAGTAATTACTAATATGCCAGAATTTATAGGGTATTGTGTGAGAAGTAATATAAACAAAGTATAAAACTCAAAACAAAGAAAGCTATTTGTAACAATAGCTAAAAAAAAATCTATTTCTTCTTGCAGACATGACTTATACTTGGGTATTCAGCCATGCTGACAATCACCTGATGTTAGAATAAGGCCATGGGCCACCTGATGCTGCTAGGAAATGTTTATATTAGGAAATCTGATACTGCCAGCAACTTTGCTGAAAAGGCCATTTGGTATTCTTTTAATATCTTCAGTTTCATAGACTAATTAACCTGTCTACTTCTGGTCTTTCATCTATTTCTGGGCTTTCAATCTCATATCTTTTCATGCTGTAATCGCTGTATTTATTTGCTAGGGCTTCCAAATCATAAAATTTCATGCCACAAAATTCCATCCCACAAAATACCACAACCTCATTGACTTAAACAACAAAAATGCATTTTTTTCACAGCTCTAAGGCCTGGAAGTCTAAGATCAAGGTGTTGGGAGGTTTGGTTGCTCCTGAGCTCTCTCTCTTGTGACAGTCTCTTTCCTGCTGTGACTTTTTCCTCTGCATATGCACACCTCTCATGTCCCTTATAAGAAGAACTTATAAGGACAGCAGTCATATCAGATCAGGGCCCCAACCTTATGACCTCATTTAACCTTAATTACCTTTTTAGAGGCCCTATTTCCAACCACAGTCATATTGGGGGTTATGGAACACAATTCAGTCCATAAAAAGTCTTGCAGACTAGTCATTTAATGAGGATCAATCTCTCTGACTCTCTTTAATGGAACTGAGATAGCTAAACACTACCCTATAAGCAGCTTGCACAGAGAACAATGTTCACCTTAAATGGCACCTGGACCTAATTTAACCACATTTTACAGGGCCTGGAAAACATGGACACATGTGGGCCTTTTCAGCAGATTAACAGAATGGCACTTCATCAAAATTATTTAATTGTCAGGACAATATTTATATAGTGGTGGAGTAAGCCAAAATCATGACATTCCTTTTTATAGTGAAATATTTCAAACATACAAGAAATTTTAAAGAATAATAAAATAAAGACTCACATACCCCACCATGCTTCTTGATCAAAACTTAAAAGAAATTAAGATAATTCTTTTTAAAAATATATATTTTTAAAATATGTATTTCTTTTTTAAAAATACATATATTTAAAGGTACTTTAAATTCCTGCTTGATCGTACTTCCTTTTTTCCTTCCCCACAGGTAATCAATTTTTTGACTTTGTTAGGTTGTTATAGCTTTGCTTTATATGAATAGAATGCTCTTTTTCTTATTATTAAATTTTACATAAGTTGCATAATAATATAGGTATCATTTCAACATTTTTTGTACTTGTAGCACCAGTTCTTTTAATTGTTGTATAGCATTCCAGGGTGAAATATATCACAGTGTAACTATTTGTTCTTCCCTTGATGAATGTTGAGATTGTTTTTAATTTGTTAGCTACTACGAATCATACAAGGAGAATTCTACCTAATCTCATTGTGTGCATGTTAAAATTCTCTAGAATGTACCCCTGAGAGTGAAAGGATTCCATATTTCCAATTTTATTAGATATTGCCAAATTGCTCTCCAAAAAGGTGACACTAATTATACTCTCTCCAGAAACCTCAGCAAAACTTGGTGTTATAAAATATTTTGAAATTTCCTAATCTTTGGGTGTGCTATAGTATCATGATGTTACTTTAACTCATATTTCTCTAATATCTAGTGAGCATCTTGTATGGGTTTTTTTTTTGGCAATTCAGATTTCTTATTTTTCTCTCAATCACTTTTTTTTTTTTTTTTTTGAGATGGAGTCTCACTCTGTCGCCCAGGCTGGAGTGCAGTGGCACGATCTCGGCTCACTGCAAGCTTCGCCTCCCAGGTTCACGTCATTCTCCTGCCTCAGCCTCCCGAGTAGCTGGGACTACATGCGCCCGCCACCACGCCCAGCTAATTTTTTTATTTTTAGTAGAGACGGGGTTTCACCGTGTTAGCTAGGATGGTCTCAATCTCCTGACCTTGTGATCCACCCGCCTCGGCCTCCTAAAGTGCTGGGATTACAGGCATGAGCCACTGCGCCTGGCTGATCTTTGCTCACTTTTCTACTGCATTATCTACCTCTTCGTTTTTATTTTCAGAAGTTATTTATATATTCCAGATTCAAATCTTTGTTGGATATGTTCTTCCCAAAAAGCCTTCGCTAGTCTCTAGCTTATCACTTATTTGTGGTATCTTTTTCTGTATAGGGAATTTTAATTTTAATATAATCAAACTTATCTCTCACTTTACAATTATTTGGAAGGAGGATTTAATAAATTCTTTCCTATTCTAGCATTAGGTATTCTGTACTTTCTTCTAAAATTTTTGTTTTATTCTTATATTCAAGTCCTCAATTTATTGAATGCAAAAACAAGTGTGTGAATCTGTTAAGAAAGTTGACTAAATAAGTCAGTAGGCACACTTACCATTTTTATAATCTTTGATAGTTTAATATCTAAAACTTTCACGGAGATGATATGCCTTTTACAGTTTCTCGTATCTGATGATTCTTGTTCATGGTAAATTTATTCCTCCTAGATTTTAAAACTGGATGGTGAACTTCTCTTCAGGAAGCTTATCTCTGTGGAGATCCTGAGAACATGGGTTGGCCATGTCTCCAGAATGGTGCTTTTGTTTTTGACAGGCCTTCCACGGGTGCTGCCAGTTGGGACTACTTTTTAAATACGATTTCTGATTATGGTTTTCTGGACCACTCATGTAGTATAAATTGGAACCTGTAGTCCACACGAGCGAGAAGGAGGTGGATGGTTATGAATTCTCAAAGGAGACTTATATTTGACACAAGAAGCCAGACTGAGGTTTACCAGGCTCCGTATGAGGGTGGGTTTACCTTTGGGGGTGAGTGGGCTCTTTCTATTCTAACCTTTTACTGAGAGTACACCCCTTTGTGGGACCTACCTTAGTGCAGGATCTCAGTTCTGATTTGTCACCCTTTTCTTACACCCAAAAATAGCAAAGTTCTCCACCAACTTCCCACCTCTCCATTCCACACACCCACCACCCAGTTTAATGCAAGTGCTTCAGGACTTTCATTTTATGTTGAATATTTCCTTTATTTTCTTGTTTGCTCAGGTATTCATTTTAAAAAAATTTAAGTATCGTACCCATTCTAGTTGTGTTGCTTGTACATGTTGCTATAAATGAATATCCTGTTTTTCTATTTATAAATATTATATATCAAGTGACTCACTGATTTACTACAATTGGGAAAAGCAGGATTTATGTTATAAGAACAATTAGCAAAAACTCTCTATCCTATGGTTTCTGTTTTCTTCTCAGTACTTTTATGCATTTTCTTTCTAAATGGGAATCACATGGGAGGTAAATTAAAGAGTTTAAAATTAGGAATAATGTCCCATAAACAGCACTGCACTATGAATTATTAGTTTTCAGAATTTCCGTCGACTGTGACTGGCAGCCAAATTACTTTTGTCATGTAAATTGCAAAAATACCCAACTGAGATATTGTGCTATCAAGCAATGTTCTCCACCCCCACCACTTGGGAGTGAGAGCTGGGCCAATTTAATTTTTTTTTCAAAATATGTCAATGTTTCCCTGTTCCATAAAGAACATTCTGTGTCCTATAAAGATCCTTTATATCACCTATCTAGCTATAGAAAGAATCAAATGATTCACGTTATGCAATTTTTTGTTTCTCATTCCAGAGGGCTTCATCCAGAAATTTTTTTAACCGACTAAAATTTTATTTTATATATTTCTCATCTCTCTCTTTATACTTCTTTAATTTTTTCAAAACGTCTGTTACTATTTATTATGGGAAACTGGTAGGAGGCATATGGTTAATCTAATCAACCAAGTAACGGTAGGCTTTAGTTGTTAGAGTTCCCAGAAATCTATTCAACGTGTCTTTCACTATGTCATCTGGAAGAATAAGTAATATGATAAGATCAGACAAACAGAGCCAGCATAAGAGATTTTTTTTTTAATTAACAGAGATAAGGATGAAGATGAGCATTTTAATGATCCTCATGCCATGTGTTTTGTCCGTTTCACTTGCCAAGCCTGTCTGGAGGAAGGGGAGCCATGCCCCATGCAATGGAGATCATGTATACCTTAATAAAACTCACTTGTTTGCGAATAACAAAATGTTAGAGATAGTTTTCTCACACTTTTCTTCTTTTTTTACAGTGATTTTTAAAACTTTTTTTAGTTGGAGTCTCGCTTTGTCATCCAGGCTGGAGTGCAGTGGCATGATTTCGGCTCGCTGCAACCTCCGCCTCCAGGGTTCACGGGATTCTCCTGCCTCAGCCTCCTGAGTAGCCGGAATTACAGGTGTGCACCACCACGCCCAGCTAATTCTTGTATTTTTAGTAGAGATAGGGTTTCACCATGTTGACCAGGCTGGTCTCACACTCCTGACATCAAGTGATCTGCCTACCTCGGCCTCCCAAAGTTCTGGGATTACAGGTATGAGCCACCATGCCCAGCCTATAAAGTGATTTTGCTTAAAAAGTAAACTTTAAAAAATTCTAACACATGTAATGCACATGCCACATTTGTACTATATTCACAGAACAGTAGAAGCTATTTCCTGGTGATTATTTCCAAGAGGCTTAGATTTAACATACGCTTCCAATATGAATCTCCTTTTTGGGAGTGTCCATTCTTATTTTCAATTCATATATTTCATTCAGCTTTGCCTTTGATATAGAAATAATGGCATTCACACACCATAATTTTCACATTACTGGTCATTACATTGCACTAAAAATCTGTCAAAATATGTAGATAAAACTGTTTTTATGGGATAGATCTTCCATGTATTTTAGATCTTGCTTTTATTGACACATTTTGCAAATATATCAATAGTGAAAGCCAAATTGCTGTAAGCACAACAGAGAGAAATTTTTTATTACTATAAAATGACTTAAGATCATTTCCATTAGCAGTTAAACAACTAATCTGTGTAGATTACACAAAACATGTTATATATAACATGCTTGATATGCTGCGCAGTATAACACATATTGCAAAATCTCTATGAATTAGAATTCTTTAAAAAGCAGAATATCCTGATTAAATTAACTTTCTGGTAATATCAAGGTACATGTAGGTAGCAGAAAGCTGTAGTGGAAATATCTTAGGTATTAGATAACTAAGTACTTTTTAAAAAATCCTGCTTCTATCATTTATTACTCTGAACTCATATTCAGAACATCTTTACTTTCATCAAAATAAAGTATAAAAATAATGAACTTTCATTTAAAAAGTACATGGCACATAATATGGTCTCCATTATTTCATGTTTATTAAAAATGTTTACAAAGTAGAATGTTATATATTCAATAATAAAGTAAAATAATTCAGTGTTTAGTGACTTAATAACTCAATAATCATTTGTTACATTGTCTGTACTGTTAACAACACTTAGTGAACATAACGACCAATATTATTTCAACATTCGTTATTATTTGAGACTTTTCTTTGACATAGTTTTCAATATTGCTTAAAAATACTCATCTCAAACTGAAAAGTCTTGTCTCCCCATCTTCTAGTTCAACTTCATGACTCTGCTGACATTTTTCCATTTCCCATTTGCCCTTTGTAAGCTGCAAGCTCCCATTGATGGGGGGTAGGGGCAAGAATTACTCAGTGGTAAGAGAAGATAGAAATGGATGGTCTACAAGGCAAGAGACACAGGCCAGAAACACTTTTTGTTTCTTCTGTCTTCAAATGAGGTATGAGGACCTGGGAAAAACCTACTACATTTATAAATATAAAAGACTAATTTGGAGCAAAAGAGGCACTAGGTTTATGACCTCCAGTTTTCGATGCCTTCCTTTACATTAACACCACACTTCACACTATTATCTTATTTCTTTGTATATTATAATTTTTCACCTAAATGTGAAAATGTAAAGTTTCTATTACATCATAATTAAAACCAATCACCAACATTTGCTTTTACCTGGCATTAAGCTAAGTGCTCAGCATGTGCCTTTTCCTTTAATAGTCACAAAAATCCTGAGAAATACAAAGGAGGAAAAAAAATGGCCTGATGTCTCTCCAGCTACTAAATGACAAGGACGGATGTTATGGGCTGAACTGTGTTCCCTTAAAATCATGTGTTGAAGCCCTAACCTGCAGGACTTCAGACTGTGAATATATTTGGAGTGATATGATCTGGCTGTGTCCCCACCCAAATTTCAACTTCAATTGTATCTCCCAGAATTGCCACATGTTGTGGGAGGGACCCGGGGGATGTAATTGAATGATGGGGGCCAGTCTTTCCCGTGCTATTCTCATGATAGCGAATAAGTCTCACGAGATCTGATGGGTTCATCAGGGGTTTTCGCTTTTGCTTCTTCCTCATTTTTCTCTTTCTGCTGCCATGTAAGTAGTGTCTTTTGCCTACTGCCATGATTTTGAGGTCCACCTAGCCATATGGAACTGTAAGTCCAATTAAACCTCTTTTTATTTCCAGCTTTGGGTTTGTCTTTATCAGCAGCATGAAAATGAACTAATACAGTAAATTGGTACCAGTAGAGTGGGGCGCTGCTGAAAAGATACCCGAAAATGTGGAAGCAACTTTGGAACTGGGTAACAGGCAGAGGTTGGAACAGTTTGGAGGGCTCAGAAGAAGACAGGAAAATATGAGAAAGTTTGGAACCTCCTAGAGACTTGTTGAATGGCTTTGACAAAAATGCTGTTAGTGATACGAACAATAAGGTCCAGACTGAGGTGGTCCCAGACAGAGATGAGGAACTTGTTGGGAACTGGAGCAAAGGTGATGCTTGTTATGTTTTAGCAAAGAGACTGGCAGCATTTTGCCCCTGCCCTAGAGATTTGTGGAACTTTGAACTTGAGAGAGATGATTTAGGGGATCTGGTGGAAGGAATTTCTAAGCAGTGAAGCATTCAAAAGGTTACCTCGGTGCTGTTAAAAGCATTCGGTTTTAAAAGGGAAACAGCATAAAAGTTCACAAAATTTGCAGCCTTATGATGCAGTAGAAAAAGAAAAACCCATTTTTTGAGAAGAAATTCAAGCTGGCTGCAGAAATTTCATAAGTAGCAAGGAGCCTAATGTTAATCTCCAAGACCATGGGAAAATGTCTCCAGGACATGTTAGAGACCTTCACGGCAGCCCCTCCCATCACAGGCCCAGAGGCCAGGAGGAAAAAGTGGTTTCATGGGACGGACCCAGGGTCCCCGTGCTGTGTGCAAACTAGGGATTTGGTGTCCTGTGTCCCAGATGCTACAGCCGTGGCTGAAAGGGGCCAACATATAGCTCAGGTGTAGCTTCAGAGGGTGGAAGCCCTAAGCTTTGGCAGTTTCCACATGGTGTTGAGCCTGTGGGTGCACAGAAGGCAAGAATTGAGATTTGAGAACCTCCACCTAGATTTCAGAAGATGCATGGAAATGCCTTGATGCCTAGGCAAAAGTTTGCTGCAGGGGCAGAGCCCTCATGGAGAACCTCTGCTAGGGCAGTGCAGAAAGGAAATGTGGGGTCAGAGCCCCCACAGAGAATCCCTACTGGGGCACTGCCTACTGGAGCTGTGAGAAGAGGGCCACAGTCTTCCAGATCCCATAATGGTAGATCCACTGGCAGCTTGCACTGCATGCCTGGAAAAGCCACAGACACTCAACAGCAGCCAATGAAAGCAGCCAGGATTGAGGCTATACCCTGCAAAGCCACAGGGACAGAGCTTCCCAAGACCATGGGAACCCATCTTTTGCATCAGTGTGAACTGGATGTGAGACCTAGAGTCAAAGGAGATCATTTTGGAGTTTTAAAATTTGACATCCCTGCTGGATTTTGCACTTGCATGGGCCCTGTAACCCCTTCGTTTTGGCCATTTTTTCCCATTTGGAACTTCTGCATTTACCCAATACCTGTACCCCCATTGTATCTAGGAAGTAACTAGTTTTCTTTTGATTTTACAGACTCATAGGCAGAAGGAACTTGCCTTGGCCCAAATGAGACTTTGGACAGTGGACTTTTGGGTTAATGCTGAAATGAGTTCAGACTTTGGGGGACTGTTGTGAAGGTATGATTGGTTTTGAAATGTGAAAACATGAGATTTGGAGGAGCCAGGGGCAGAATAATATGGTTTGGCTGTGTCCCCAACCAAATCTCAACTTGAATTGTATTTCCCAGAATTCCCACGTCTGTGGGAAGGACCCAGGGGGAGGTAATTGAATCATGGGGGCTGGCCTTTCCCACGCTATTCTCATGATAGTCAATAAGTCTCATGAGACCTGATGGGTTTATCAGGAGTTTCCACTTTCACGTCTTCCTCATTTTTCTCTTGCTGCCACCATGAAGGAAATGCCTTTCATTTCCCATCATGATTCTGAGGCCTTCCCAGCCGTGTGGAACTAAAAGTCCAGTTAAACATTTTTCTGTTCCCAATTTTGGGTATGTCTTTATCAGCAGCCTGTGAAAATGAACTAAGACATGGAGATAGGGCCTTTAAGTGGTATTTAAGCTAAAATGAAGCAATTAGGATGGGCCCTAATGCAAACTGACCAGTATCCTTATAAGAGGAGATTTGAACATACAGAAAACACTAGGGAGAACCATGTGAAGGCATTGAGAAGGCGTCAGCCACAACCAAGGAGACAACCCTCAGAATAAACCACCTCGATCTTGGGTTCCAGAGTCCAGAACTGTAAGGGCATACATTTCTGTTGTCTAAGTCACCTGGTCCTTGGGATTTTGTTATGACTGCCCTTGTAAGCTAATACAAAGGACTTAAACTCAAGAGTCTGATCTGAGCGACCACCTAACCACCATTCTAGGGTATCAGGGCTTACTCTCATGGTTATCTTGGTTTGTCCCTGATTTTTTCATAAGTATCAGTTGTTCTAGTCTATTCATATTATTAATACCCACTGCGAACCTTTTTATCCAGACAATTGTAGAAAACTATTTAGGAATCTAAAAGTCATCCTAGGTTCTGAGCAATGTTTGATAGGTTTCATGTTGGTCCACAAATAACAAATCTTGTAAGAGACCATCATAAATCTTATAAGGCAAAAGTTTTGTAAGAAAATTGTGTAATTCTGGACCACTCATTCTATAAGGTATAAAATAATTTTGTTAATAAACTGCTTTAGAGACAACCTGAAGGTTCTGAAAAATTAGAAGTAGAAAGAAGCCTACCCAATTATTTTGGTTATCTTAACATAGCCTCCTATAATCCCAAAATGAATTCGTTTCTCATATGTGATTGTTTAAAAAGAAGAAATGCAGAAGAAATGACAGACTCTTTGTTGAATATTTTTTGTGTATCCATGCCTTCAGAAAGTGCTGCCTAATATTATGGAAGAGTACACAGGCACCAGGTGACAAAACTTTTTGCCTATGCCAATACATAAATTGTCTGTAAGAGAAAAATAAAAGAAGCAATTTTGATTCCAAGGAAACTTACCATCAATTACAGCCAATATGGAATACCTTACTTAATGTGCACCTACAATGTCTAGAATATATGTTTTTAAATCAGTGGCTGTTTCGCATCCTACTCCCATAATTTTCTTTTCTTGAATGAACAATATTGGAACACATTGTATTGAGACATATGTCAAAAGTGTTGATGATTAAAAAAACACATAAAGGGATTAGCAACATTAATGTAAATTTCTTTAAAACTAAGTTAGGTTCATTATCCTAAAGGCTTTATTCTGTGGGAGTTCCAAGTTCTTATAATGACGATCAATTTAATAGATTTCTCGTACTACTCATATGTAATACACTATCAACTTCTCCTTCAACAACACAAGTAGAAATGCTATCATACAAACAACAACAACAAAAACCCCACACTATTTAAATAAAGCTAAACTGGCAAGAAAATAAGGGAAATCTTCACTTTATAAATACAAGAGAGGTTTAAGAATCCAAGGAAGGATATCAGAGACCAATGACATCCATAGAGCTGGATCTTCTGCTGACTTTGTTTCATCTAAAGTTTTGGTTTGAATAGTTACTGAGGGTACAGAGTAAAACAGGTCTGGGTCATTTGAAACACAGAGCAATAAGTAATTACATCAGGCTACACTATCTCCTGGTCAGAAGGGGGAAAAGCAGTATTTGATCTGTACCATTCACTACATACAAATATCAATTCCACATAGGTCTAGAATTAAATATGAGAGGCAAAAATGTAAAATATTTTGAAAAAAAATCATTTCCCAAGGGAAAATCCATCGCTTTCAAAAAAATTTTATTAGAAAATAGGAAAGACTTAAATTTAATAGTTTAGAACCAAATTAGGAAATTATAAAAAAAAACAAGATTCACAAAATTTTACACAAGAAAGAAGCAAACAATAAACATTATAGTGGAATTAGTGAATAGGAAGCAAAGGTACAAGAATTTCAGCTAAGTTATATAGAGAAGGCTTCAATTAATTAAAATATTAATTTAAAAATTAATAATATGAAGAATAGAAAGGAGCAATAAAGACAAATGCAGCATTTATATTTTCAAAGGTAGAGAATATTATAAAATGCAAGCAATGATTTTTTAAAATTCAGTGAATATAGTCAAATTCTTAGAAAATTAAATGCAATAACAAAATGAACTCAACAAGAAACCGAAAATAATACTAGTCCTAAAATCATTGAGGGTGTGAGATTGATAATTCAAATATTTCCATAAGGAAGACACCAATCCCAGGTAATTTAACTGAGTTCTGTCAAACATTCAAAGAAGTGAGCATTCCAATCTTACATGAACTCTTTTGGATAATCAAATTTACGGGAGTGAAAATATATAATCTTCAGTGCAACATCATGAATGAAACTGAAAAACATACTACTGAGTGAATATAGGAAGTTGTGGAAAAATGCATATAGTAAGACATTTATGTAAAGTTCAAGCATGCAAAGGTATTTTTTAGAGATATACACGTAAGTGGTAAGCTATACAAAAAATAAAAATAATAATCAACGTAATTTGGGATAGTTAGCTTTAAGTGGAAACCAGAGGGCCTCAAGGGGAAATCAGAGACATGCAAGAGGATTTAAAACTATGTATAGTAGTCTGTATCTTAGGTTGAGCAGTTTATATATATATATGGATGGAATACCATATATCTATGTATCAGAATATATACACACATCTGTATTACAATCTTTATTTGCGATGTCAAAATAATGTAAGATAAAAAAGATAAAGTCATTTAAAAAATTTTCAATAGGTAATACATTCACAAAGTTCAACAATGAAAACAAATTGTAGAAGAGTGAAAATCTTCTTCTCACCTTGTCCCAATCCACCCAATTTCTAACTCTTCCCAGCAAACAACCAATGTTATTAGCTTGTTATATAGTCTTCTACATTTCCTTAAGAATATACAAGCAAATATGACCATTTATTTTTATCCCCCTTGCCACATATTTACATGAAACATCACATATACTATACATAGTACAGCAGCTGTACCTTACTTTTTTTCTGAGTAGGATATCTTAGGGATCTATATCAGTGCATAAAGTGTTTCCTTACTATTTTTAGATATGCATAGTATTCTTTTGATTGGCTATATCAATTTAAGTAGATTACATTAGATTTGTATAGTATCCTCTCTTTGGCTACATTATATATTTTTAAACTTTTTTAGTTTCTTCATTTTTTTTTTGTTCTTGTAATTTACCTATGAGTATCCTTGTACATATATTTCTCAAATGTGCAAGTATGTTTGAAGGATACATTTCCGGAAGAGAAATGGTGAGTGAAAGGATACTTCCATTTGTAGTTTTAATAGATATTGCCAAATTGTCATCCACAGAAATTGTATCCATGTAGTCTGCTGATAGTAAGGTAGGGGAAAGATGCTTCCCACAGCCTCTCTGAGGGTGTATTATGAAACTACTGCATAGTTTGAATATGGTGTAGCATCTTTTCTTATTTTTAGAGCCACTATATTTTCTTTTTTCTGAACCATGTGTTCGTATTAGCTGTCTATTTTTCTTTTCTTTCTTTTTTTTTTTTTTTTTTCTTTTCA
The DNA here is from genome assembly GCF_000001405.40 of Homo sapiens. Taxonomy (NCBI): domain Eukaryota; kingdom Metazoa; phylum Chordata; class Mammalia; order Primates; family Hominidae; genus Homo; species Homo sapiens. The sequence goes on along the minus strand of NC_000006.12, from coordinate 123,077,575 downwards.
AGAAATGGAGTCTCGCTCTGTCGCCCAGGCTGAAGTGCAGTAGCGCGATCTCGGCGCACTGTAACCTCCGCCTCCCGGGTTCAAGCGATTCTCTTGCTTCAGCTTCACAAGTAGCTGGGACAACAGTCTTGCGCCACCACATCCAGCTAATTTTTGTACTTTTTAGTAGAGACGGGGTTTCACTATACATCGGCCAGGCTGGTCTCAAACTCCTGACCTCAGGTGATCCGCCTGCCTCCGCCTCCCAAAGTGCTGGGATTACAGGCGTGAGCCACCGCGCCCAGCAGTTTTAGCTATTTTTCTATTAAGTTTTTTTCTTTTCTTATTAATTTCTAGAAGCTTTTTAATTTAGAGATGTTATCTCTACGTCAGTTATATGAGTTGAAAAATTTTCCCAGTCTGTCAGTTGTCTTTTGGTTTTGTTTATAATTTTTTCATACAGAAATTTTAAATTTCACTTGATGAAATGTATTCTTTTTTTAACTTTTGGAATTTGAATAATTGGCATAAAGGTCGCTACACCAAGGTTATAAAGACATTCTTTCATGCTTTCTACTGATACTTTTATGGTTTTCTTTTTAAATATTTGAAATTTATAATACATTTGGAGTTTATAATGTATGGTATAATGCATGGAGTTGTGCTGTTTTTAAACATAATTTCTTTTCTCAGAAAGAAATCCTATTTAAAATAGATTACTGTCAGCTTAGAAGAGAATGCTATGATAAATACTGTTTTTTAAAATGCATTATTTTAAGAGAGTATGACTCTGTGATGTTTATATACTTGGTGTGAGTCTAATACAATGTTTTCACACATTATTTTTAAAACCATATAAAAACAGTTAAAATTTAGATAAAATGAGAGACCAAGTAACTCCAAGGCTGCCTTTTTCCAAACTCAACAATAGCAATGCTAACATAATCTCAAGCAATATATGATGCAGAACCTTTTAATTACCTTGTAGTGAATCAAATTAAATATTTTTGCATGCTTAGATTAAACCAATCTATTAAGATCTACAACTTCTCTCCATTTTTTTAAGACTTAAGATAATCCAATGTGTTAACATTCTAATCCATAAAATTACTACGGTAAGTCTTATTAGAAAAGCATTTCATAAGTTAATTTAATAGGGGAAAATTCCTGAATCAACGTTTGGGAAGAACTCTCTCCCATGCAGTATCAGAGCTTTCTGATACACTACATAGTTGCTTGGCAGCTGTAATGATAGAAAAAGTCAACATCCTGAGCTTCTACTTGCCCTAAATCACTGACAAATGTAGAGAAGAAAGTCAGGAGCTAAATTGACTACCTGTGTTGACCTGCTCCCCGTTTGATCGGCCAAATGAAGGCTATTCACAAGGGAAAGTGAAAAGGGCACAGAGAACACAGTTTTCTTCTTGAAGTTAAGGAGCACATGCTTCTAAAATCAGGAAAGTTGGCTTCCTTGAGTGACTATCATTTGATTTAGACATAGGCCTGTTGAAATCTCTTCTTCCTACTGGACTGAGCTCATCCTAAATCCATTGATTGCTAAAATCCTGAAAGGCTGGAGAGAGTGGATATGTACAATCTGTTTCCAATGTAAAGATTCCTGAGTGTTGTCCCCCTTTGCATTAGTAGATGTTTACCTAATATAATACTGATGAATAATTCTGAGCACAATTAATGATATAGAGAAAATGAAATGAGGTTATGTCCAAGTAGAACAGAATTTAATAGAAAAAGTTTTAGGAGAGCCAGGGGAAAAGTATTAAAAGGAACAGCAGCATAACCGGACCAGTTGAAATCTTGGTTCTGTTACTAGTATTTCTCTTAACTAGTGATGTTACTTTTATCAAGACAGACCTGGTATGTCTCTATTTATATACTAATAAAATTAAAGATTTTGATTTTTATTATTTTTTAGATTTCAGGTCTTGCTCTGTCACCCAGGCTGGAGTGCAGTGGCATGATCATAGCTTACTGCAGTCTCAAACTCCTGGGCTCAAGTGATCCTCCAGTCTCAGCCTCTCAAAGTGCTAGGATTATAGCTGTCAGTTACTGCACCCAGCCATGTTTTGATTATCTCTAAAGCTCTAAAGGATCTTCTAGCAGTAGCATCTATTATTTGAAAGAGAAAGAAAAAAAGAAGAAAGAAAGAAAGGAAGGAAGGAAGGAAGGAAGGAAGGGAAGGGAAGGGAAGGGAAGGGGAAAGAAGGAAAGAAAGAGGAAAGAAGAAAGGAAAGAAAGAAAGAAAGAAAGAAAGAAAGAAAGAAAGAAAGAAAGAAAGAAAGAAAGAAAGAAAGAAAAGAGGTAGCTTTCAATGGGGTGAGAAGAAATAGGAAAGTTTATACTTTGTGTATTTTCATAGATGTTGATAATTATCTACTTGGCAGTATCTGCTATTTGAATATTTTATATAATTGCTAAATATCCTCATCATTATTCTAAATTTAAAAATATTTTTGCTTAGGTATTTCTAGTTATTTTTAAAGTATTTAATTGTTTCTACAGTTTATTTTACTTTTCTTTTTTTTGAGACAGAGTCTTACTCTGTTGCTCAGGCTGGAGTGCAGTGGTGGGATCTCGGCTCACTGCAACCTCAACCTTGTGGGTTCAAGCTATTCTCCTGCCTCAGTCTCCCAAGTAGCTGGAATTACAGGCATGTGCCACCACACCCAGCTAACTTTTTGTATTTTTAGTAGAGATGTGGTTTCATTATGTTGACCAAGCTGGTCTTGAGCTCTTGACCTCAGGTGATTCACCCATCTCGACCTCTCAAAGTGCAGGTATTACAGGCATGAGCCACAGTGCCTGGCCTATTTTACTATTTTTGAGAAACTTGTTAAAACATGTTTATAATGTTCACTAAATGTTAAAAGATCAACTTTGGCAAAATAAGTTTTAAAATTCTTTCATCTCAAAAAATGCTTTCAAATGTCTTTTAGTAAATAAGTTGTATAAAGTCACAATTTATTTGTTTTTTCAGAGACTGGCTTAAATTTCAGTACACAATCAATGATGGAAATAAATTTATAAAGACTTCATAAAGAAAACAGTTTATTTATTTTTTTAAAGGCAATCTGAAAGGTATGTATACCTTCCTGCCTCCAAAAATAGTATTCTTTATTATGATCATAATAGAGGCTCTGATTTTTCTCCATCATAAATCTAGTGACTCAATCGTTGATGGCCTGAAATATTGCTTTATGAAAATCAGTATATGAAAGAAGAATCAATTTTATGTTCATTAATTAACATGGCATCCAGCCTGCACTAACATAGAAACTCTCCTATAGTAATATTTCTATATGAAGAGAAATAGACATGTTTCCTTAAGATAGATATCATTTGCTGGTTGTTACTTTTTTTTTCATAAGAGAAACTTATTTACTTATGGCTCCTCCTAGATGAGTACAATCAGTACTCATGGGATTTCTGTACTCTGCCCATACTTTGAAACTTTCTTATGAGTTTTTCAAGAGGTTTTATAGTATGATCATCATACAAAAAGCAAATGTTTTCATTACATTTCACATACCAGCCAAAATGATCCTTTTAATACTACCTAAATTAGCACGTCTGGAACCACAATGGTTGGGCTTTCCATCAGTTGTATTACATAAAGTATACTCAAGCCCATCAATGGAAACCAGGAATTGTGGTTCTGACTGTGGGTAAGGGGGAATAACAAATTAAATGGAAAGAGTAAATTGTGCAATTTCCAGAATTTTAAAATCTTTTGTTCTTTTTTGTCTTCTGATGGCAAATCAAAGTTTATTTTTCAGTTACAATAAAGTAAATGAGTATGGAATTTACCTCAAAAGAGTTAAACTCTGCAGGAGCCAGCACCTCTGAATGACCCTGAAAAGCACTGATTAGGAGATTCATTTGCCCTGAGCATCTACAGCCCTGGCAATCACTGCCACCTCTGAGCAGAAAGACAGAAACCACATGACCCTAACGCCATTCTCAAAAGAGCATGGATAAGGGGAGTTTATATTGGGGTTTTCCATGGAAAGGAAGGAACCAAGTTTTCAAGAGGATACATAGGAAACTTAGCTCATATTGTTGGTACAATTATTGCCCTATTTTACTGATGAGAAAACAGTGTGCTGGAGGTCACACAATTAAACTAGTAGGTCTTCATTGCACTTGCAACTCTTACTGGCTTTTTATATGTTGTCTCCACTAGAGTGTGACTTTCAGAAGGGCAAAGACATTGTTTTGTTTATTCCCATACCCCCAGTACACAGAACATAGGTAATGTTAGTGTAAAAAATGAAATAAACTGAAATCATTATTCAACCCAGTCCACTGCTTTAAGGGGAAGACTTTATATATAACTGACACTTTCTTGTATCTCCATTCTATCTATCATTCTAGAAGTCAGGAAGTTCTTTCTAATGACTTGGAGATAATACCAATGTATCAAATATACTTGATCAAATCAACAATAAATTCAAAATATAACAACATAGCCATATATGTTTAAAGTCAGTTTTTAAAGCATTTTATGTGTCCAAATGCTAGCACCAAATTCATATGTCTCTATATGACACATTTCTTCATAGCTATTTGATATGATGTTTTCTAAATTTACAGAAATTTAGTTAATGATGAAAAAACTGTAAGGGCATATACACACACACGCATTTCTGAATCTGAAGTTTCATTTAGTGACATTTTATTTAACAGTACTTCATTCATCCTCAGAAATCAAAAAAGACAATAGTTTCTCTGCAAAAAAAGAAATAAAATATTAATATAATGGTTTTCAGAATATAATAAACAATGATCTGCTTTGTAAAATTGTTAAATCCATTATAAAGTGGACATAATTAACACAATTTACCAAGGAACATACCCTTAGAATTCAATCATAAAAAATTATGAAAAGAAAATTCAACCTAAGAGAACATGAACTATAGGATCTTTCATGTGCTGTGTATACTTGAGCTTGAACTCTATATCTGAAGTGACGCTAAACACATTCATATAGGTTGGCAAAAAAGGATATCACAGAGGGAAATGGTTTCCACTGTACAGACTATCAAGGATCAAATATTAAGAAACATAAGGAAATTCTGCCTTGTTTGTGAGCAAGAATCATTAGTCTCTTCTCTAGAGAATGTTTTCCGAACTGTTAACCCTGATTACCTATCCTTGTGTAACTGACAAGAAACATAATCTATATTGGTTAACAATGTCCTACATAGCACACAAAGAGGAATAAAACCCCTACCCATTACAAAGCCACTAAAAGACTGGTTAACTTCTGAAACAGTTTCAAACATCTATTCTTATATTTCAGGTTATATTTCTTCTTCAACATCACCTGCTGATTCTTTAAATTCAGTGTCTTCTTAATATATGTTCTGATAGAAGATTATAAAACAGGAGGCTTAAATTATTACAGTGTTGGGAAAGGCACAACAATGTAGCTGAAGAAAAGGAATAACATATGTTTGGTAAGGATTAAAAGTTAAACTGCAAAGGATACAAATCAGAAACCTATCACAACAAGAACCAATATCTAGGTCATTTAGTTACTAAAATTATGGAGAAGTCAGTCCAAATAGGAAATAAAAATTTGGGATAGTTAAGAACAATTGTGACTGTAAGGCTCTAAAAATGATAGCTGAAATTAAAAGAGAAGGGAGCAAGCTGAAAAGCCAGTTGGAATATATGTGAGCATGAGCAATTTCTATCATCTTGTGTCACAGCTATAAATTTTCAACATAAAAATTTAAAGATATGTAACATGAAACCCAATTGTTAAAATGGTTCACAGACTAAATGACTATAATATATAGATTTCAAGATCATGGAAAGACCTTAGAAACACCAAAATACTTCCTCATTCATTTTATAATTGTTGCAGAGAAGATACGAACACAATGTCTTTCCTTTTTCTTCCTCTTCTTCCCCTTTCCATTAAAAGTAACTACATAGTCATATTCTCTTAAACTGGCTTCCAATACTGGAATTATAGTCTTTTAACTTCCTGCATATTTTTAAAAATTGAAATTAACCATGATAATCCATAAAGAACAATTCCATGTAGTTTTAATCTCAAAATGACTTTTCCCCTGAGCTATCTTGTAGTCTCTCCAAGAGTAAGCCATGTGGATAGATATAGGGTCCAGTGATCGTTGAGTAACTTCTAAAGACAAAACTGAAATACTGATGTAAAACTTAGGCTCAGGGATAGAGATCACAATTGGGGAGAAGAGGATATCATTTTTGATTCATGATTCTATTATCATGAGAGGGTAAAATTTCCCCTTTGAAGATAAATAACAAAATTTTTTAAATTAAGACAACAAGAAACTCTTTCAATTCATACTATTGGCCGTTACATAACTTGCTGAAACAAATTAGGATCCTCATGAAATCATTTTGGATTTGTTAAGTTCCAGGGACTGTACAAGGCACCAGTAATGCAGTAGTAAACAGACAAAAATTCCTGCCCTTGTGGAGTTCACATTGCTATTGGGGGGAAATGCAAAGTAAATAAATAATCTGTATGGTGTATCAGGTGATAAATGCTATGGAGAGGAAATACAGCAGGAAAGGAGAATATGAAGAACCACAGGGCTGTTTCATCTAAAATTAGGAAAGAGAGTCCTCACAAAGAAGATGACATTTAAGCAAATACCTGAAGAAGATGAGGGAATAAACCACGTGGATATCTGAAATTAGAGGCAAAGGGAACAGAAATGCGAAAGTCCTGAGGTAGAGGCATGCTTAGCAAGTTCCTGGAACAGCAAAGATGACAGTTTGGCAGCAGTAAATAAAGGAGAGATTCTTAAGAGATTATCTAAGAAAAGGCAAGAACGGGGTAGAGAACTTCAGAAGCAAGAAATTAAAGTATTTAACAACTATTTTTTCATAGTACCAGCAAAAATGCCAGCCCAATCAGAAACCATGCTATGTTGCTGTACTGGTGCTTACTGCCTTCATATCAAGACTTCTCATACACTGATATAAAGACATCGGCTTTTACTCTTTCAGAGGGTTTGGAGAACAAAATGGTCTGAGTTACATTTTAAGAGACTCACTCTTGCTAATGTGTTGAAAATTGACTCTGGAAGCAAGAAGACTAGTTTTTAGATTATTAAAATATTCCAGATGGAAAATGTTGAAGACTTGGTCCAATACAGTGAAGAAGATTGGAGAAGTGGTTAGAGTGTGGATATATTTTGAAGACCCAACAGCATGAGCTAGCTGATGTGATGTAGTTTTGAAAGAAAAAGAGGAAGGAAAGAGAGGATGACTCCAAAATTTTTATTCCTAGAAACTGGAAGATTGGGGTCGACACATAGTGAGATGAGAAGGCTAAAGGGGAAGCAGGGTCAGAGTGAAAGTAGTTTGGTTTTGTAAATGTTAAATCCGCCATATCCATTAGCCATCCAATTAAAATTGTTAGCTATATGAATGAGGAGTAAGGGATATTACTAGTCTTCCCTATGAATACAAAACACAAAAAACAACAATTTTTCTAGCACTAAAACTTAATAATTATATTTCATAAAACTTTTAGGTAATAATTTATAAACCAGCATGCAAATATTTCAATCATATGCAACTAAGTGAATTATGTTCATATATGTATAACATAGGATTTTTTTCTTAAGTGGCAACAATGCATTTGTGGCTTCTTATACTTTTATGATGCCAATTAGAAAAAAGGGAGGAAAACAGCATATTTATTTTTATTTTTAGAGAAAGAAGTGATGCTCAGAGGTACGTGTTTTTGATGATGTTTCTGTGTGGAAACTTGCTTCACAACAGAGATTTGACCATCACTTCCCCATGGCCTCTTCGAGTAGAAAATATTTTCTACTCGATCCTCCTGAAGAAGGAACGCACTTTTTTGTAACGAGAGTGGAGACAATATCTCTGGCTTTTTCTTTGTTTTCTGGTTCATTCCCACTGAGGATACTACTGCTGGAAATGTGGCTTCTCCTGGCCTGCCTTTAGGAGGGAGCAGCAATAACGATTCTTGATAACCTCAAGAATCCTGTGTAAAGAAAATCCTCTGAGTTTGAGCCAAAGAAATTCATGAAGTCTACTTGTAGATGGTTCTAGGTAAATGTAATTGAGTCTCTTATACCTTATTAGATGACTTTTCATCCACAGATAGGATAAATGAGGGAAACTCACAGAAGACACAAATACATATTTATTGAGTAAGCATTCTTTCTCAAATCAGGCTGAATTTTTTTTTTAATTTCACATCATATTTTGACCTGGGATTACTTTTTTGAGGATTTATTTAAACCAATGCTTTTCTGTAATTCAAATTTCTAAATTTAATCTCTTGCCTAATCCAGTCATTCTATTGCAAATGTGAAAACCCTAGTTATTTTATTTACTGATCATTCCTTTGCTATATGTAATTAAAACATTAGTTTACTTCTTTCAAACTTTCATTTGAAAGTTTGACTAGAAGTTATAGAATATTGAATACGTCATTTTGATGAAACAAATTACTATATATTTTCCTCTTTGATCCCCACACATACAAATATCACAAACTTGAGGAATCTTAACTTAAATAGCTAAGCACAATTTCTCTCAAAATAAAAATATTGCTAATTTTTAGACGATTTTTTAAAGAAATCTCCATTTTATAGATGCAGCAGATCCAGGACTACCAAATTTAACATTAACAATGTGCAAAATAAATGTATACATTTAAAATATAAAATATACAAAATAAAAGCATACATTTCTTTTAAACAGAAATGTATACTTGTCCAAAAATTATATTATAGTGTTTTGGAATTTATAACTCCTTCAAAAGGCCAAATAGTAAATGCCGTGTAGTACTAAATAAGTAGTTTGTAGTAGTAAAAATTAATAACATTTGAGTAAAATAGCAAATAATATACTCAGTATTCTTCAAGGACTTGTATGATTTCCTGTTAGACATCTTTTATTTTTCCTGGATAGCTTTGAAAACAAAAACTATTTGGTTTTCTGAGTTTTATTTATTGTTTAAGCAAATATAAAATCTGAAAAATTGAAAAATTGGATTAGAAACAAGACAGTGCTTTGTATCTCTGTTAAAAGTAAATGAATTAAAATTCATTGCAATTTTTTAAAGTAGTTGAGGATTGGGTGACCCTTAAAACTGTGGTTAAAATTTATTTTCACCTAAGTCCATCTCGTTCACCAGGTAAAATAAGTCTTACAGAATAAATGCACTATATCAAGGACAGACATATTTGCACTGAGACTTAAATCTAAGTCAAATAATGACAAAACTCTTCTAAATTTTAACAATTTCCATTATTTACCATGAGTGCATTGATTATATTTAACTCCTATAATTAAGTGATTTCTACATTTTTTTATTTCAATAGCATCATTTGTACACCTGCTTCCTTGAAAAAAAGGCTAATTTGAGTGTTTCAATCCACAAAGTTGTTATCTTATATATTTTCCTATGGTACTGGAGAATTCATTCCCATAGTTAGTACATAACAGAATCCACAGCACTATTTTCATGTCCTATGTTAACCTCCAAATATTTATAAAATAAAATCTTTAATTCTTAAAAAAGATTATATTCTCTAAGCCATTGAGATCATAATATAATAATGTTACAAAGCCAAGCTTCTTTTGTATGTTTACTTATTTGCCTTTTTTCATGTAGCAAATAATGTCAAATAGTTCCAGTAGCATATGGGAAGCTATTTTTTCAACTAAAACCAAAGACAAAAACAAGAAAACAAATCCTTTTCATTACTGAAGATAATTACACACCTTGCATATTTAACCAATCTTCTTTTGTTCCAATATGTTGGTTTATAATCTGCCTCTTCTTGTATGATCAGTGACCTCACAAATTTCAAATGCATTACTATGTTTCAGGCTATGTATTTATATAGCAGATCTACAATGGAATATATGCCTATGAGCTTATTGTTGTAAAAAATGTACATATACCATATCTGAAAGTTCAAATATCATGCTAGAGCTCTGCTCATTTTATTTAGTGTGTTGAAAATTTTTGAAGTGTCCTCATGGCTGATGGCAACTTTTCATGTAATCATTAATAAATATACACAAAAAAAGAAGCTGAGATATTATTCACCAACCACACAAGGCAGACCTTTAAATAAAACAACAGAAGAGTGTACAGCCTCTCAGCAAGCTTTCTTAATGTAACTTCTTTAAAGGACCAGAGATATGTCCATAAACCTTTACATTGTAGAAGCAAATGATCCCTGTCCCTGAAGACATACTCCATGGCTCTGAAGGTTTCTTTATGTGAAGAGTCATAAACATATTCCCCAATGTCTAAAACAACTCTCCAATTTCTTGATGCAATAGAGGGACCTCTTTTCCCTCAGGAATATTACAGACGCTTCACATGTTTAACAATATGACCTAGTTAACAGTATTAAAAAAGCTAAGTATTAATGTATGAATTTTTGGCTTTCCTGCTTATGAATGTATGAATTTTTGGTACTATAAAGTAAATAAGTATTCTATATGAAAAAACTTAGGAAATATCTCTGTCTACACTTATGCAAACCATTACTGAAATGAAAGAATTCATGCATGCCCACTTCAAAAACTTGCTTGCAAAACTCTGTTTAATACTCGTATATCGTTTTAGCCTAGTGCCACGTTTATCATTAACATGTACTAAAGTTACTGTATTTAACTTACACAACAGAGACTTAATACTGTATGAGTATGTTCAAATAAAGGCCTTAAATATCCTTCTTCAAATGATATCTATATTTCACCTATATAATATAGATTTACGTATTTACTTTTTGGAAGAGAGTACAAATAAAATCCATATGCCAGTAACGTTGCTTTATTCCATTTTCAAAGAGGCACTTCTTCATATTTCTTAGAGTATATTTTCATGATAATCTCTTCCCTCTTAAATAGTAGTCAAAAATGCAGGCAAACATCACTGACAACATAAGAGAAGTTATTTATTTTTAAACCAGCTTTGGAATCACCTGCCCCTGAAATAACTGGAAGAAAGAAAAAATATCAGAAATAGAAGATGGAACAGGCAGGGTGAAAGAAGTAAATGGACTACTGGACCATTCCAAGTCAAATGCGATAATTCTTTGAAGCCCGCAAATTTCAAGTGACAAGACAACTAAAATAGCTCTCGAAGTACAGAGGAAAATTCATTAGGGCAAACAGTCTAGTGTGTTAGTGTGTGTGTAAGAGTGTGTGTGTGTGTGTGTATGAGAGAGAGAGAGAGAGTGGAGGTATACTATTGCAATTAAAATACAAGAGTATAGGAGTGCTTATAGGCATACAACTATAGTGTATAGGTTATTCATAGACATAGGATGTGACACAGAATATCATGAAGGGAAAAATTCCTAAACAGTGCTAGATAGCTGGTGCTGAGGGGTAAATTTATAAAGTTGAATGAATATCCCTTGACTAAGGTTCACAAACATTACTAGAAAATGAGTTTATTCACAGAATGAACTAGATATGGTAATTTCAAAAGGCATCATCATTGTAATTTGTTCATTCATTTTAAAATATTTTACACAATCTAGCCAACTCTCAATTGCTCATCTAAAGATGAGCAGTAATGCAATGCAAACTTTCCAAATGTGGGTCTGGGAGACAGTGTGAATGATACTTATAATTAGATAGGCATACATATAAAATATGCCTTTCTAGTTATTTTTATATATGACACTAACTTTACGATAGGGGAAAGAAGCTGCCAATGCTGGTTGACATCTGAAACTGGCAGAATTCTGAAAACTGGCAATAAATGGTACACATCAAGAGAAACTCATGAGAATGAAAAGTTGACTGCCCTCTGCACTTACAATGTTTCTATTTTATTCCAATGGATTATACTGCCTAAGATTTATATAGTCTAAAAAGCCCATGGCTACAAAATGTATGTCAGGTAGGCAAGAATGTAAGAATATCAATGGTTAGAATTCTTATAAAGGTAAGAACTGCTGAGACATGTTGTCCCCAGTGCATTCCAATCTCTGTAAAAGTCACAAGGAGAGCAGAGTGCCTGACAGTCATTATTCTTCTGCACTTGACTGGAGGTTGGCATTATTAAGGTATCTTTCATTTGTGTTAATTAATGTATTTTTACACACATGAGGCAGTCCATTGATACACTGTACATTGGTGTATTCAGCTTGCTTTTACAATTTTTGGCTGCAGAATTATAACAAATTTTGGGAGCTTTTGGCCAAAAAATATGAAGGCTGACACATGCCTTTATTTTTGTTGGTTTCCAAGAGTTTCTGAGATATTTTTCTTCCAAAAGAATACTTTAATGGTAAACTCTCAATCTCAAAATTTATTATGGGTGATAAAAATCATTTTTTCACATTGAAATTTAAAATTAAAAAATTAAGATTTGCTGTAATTGTATAAATTTTATGAAATAAAATGTTAAATATGCAAATTTCTAAATCCACGTATAAATGATTACATGTTGTCATAGATGCCTTCCAATAATTTCATTATATCTCCTGAATATAATGTGTTTTTTCAGTCTTTTCTGAAAGAAATTGTGGATAAATAGGATCACGAAGATAATTAACTTAAATTTGAAAATAAAATTGGCTTTCTGTCACCTGATGCTACCTACACTATGTTGAGACCTATTGCTTCTTTGAAGGAAAAATATAGTTCAAATAAGATGGCACATATGTAAGATTGCATTATAAATTAACTTGGAATTCCTTTAAATAGGTACACTGAAAGTCAGTTTCACTATTTCTCCTTTTCATTAACTTCAGTGGAAGTAGTTTTCCAGAGTTATCTCATGTAATTATCCATAAGATCATTGAATATCTATGATTTATTTTATAAGCCTGTCACATTAAGGATTTATTAGAGCTCAGTAAAAATATATATGTGTGAATATATATATATATATACTTTTTAACCAGTGCACAACAATTAGAAATTAGCCCCTCATCTGTAAGTGGAAAATTTTATGTTCAAAATTAGCTGTCAGAACACTGTTCACATGAGTTCTCATTCTCTTAGTCAAAGAGTTTTGGAGGGGAAATGTACTTAGAGTACATTAGGAAGAAATATAATAGGGTCTTGAATAAAGGGCACATTGTGAAGACAGCAATTTAAAAAGAATCCACTCTTTTTTACATTTCTACGTCTTAATTGAGGAAACACATCTTTTCACAAGATTCCAAGAATTAAACAACATAGAAGAGTTCAAGTGTTCAGTTTACCAGCTCATCTGCCATTCCTTGCCTCCAAAATGCAAGGCCAATGATAGTTACTAAGACACATTTCTCTGAAATGAAAATCACTAGACAGGAAATACATTAATCATAAAATTTCCTGGAATCACTTAGTTGTGTGTGCCCGTTAAGAGTATGTTTGAATACTGACAGAGTTTCAGAGAAAAACAATGAAACAATCACTATGAGAGCTGAAATATGGCTTCATAGGAAAGAGGGCTACATTTAATTAGCTTTGACTGTGTCTTTTCTGCTTTTTGTTATAGTTCATAACACTGGCATGGACTTTTGAGCCAACCTTTTTCCAAACTGAGTTACTACTGAAATTTACAAACTTGACATGAAGATTACATTATATTTACAAACAACTTGGCACTTACAGAATAAATTATTGACATTTTAAAAATCCAGCCCAGGGCCCCCATGGTTCAGGCCAAGGAAAGCCTGATGCCTTGTTATATATTATGCTACATTAACATGAATAAGTCGGTTTCCAGCTGGTAATTCCTCTACAGTGTTGTCCCTGTTGCTGAAAACCAATACTTTCCATTTCTAATCCATGAAGGGGATGTAGAGAAGTTATTAGTCCAGAGAAAGCAATGGTTGCATGTTTTCTTCCTCATTTTTATCCATGCGTTTTAGTACTGTAGGATCCACTACTGATTGAGATCTGGAAAGGATAAAGCCAACGTCAGTGAGTTATTACCAGGTAATTGTGCAGATGACATTCTCTCCTCTTTTTGTCATTACTTCTCCCAGGAATGTGAATTCCCTTCCTCTATATCAAGAAATTTATGAATTGTGGATGTTGCACATTTAGAGAAAAACCACTGCTGGTGATGTTTTGCACTGGAGTGAGGAAAAAAATCCCCTCTGGCCTCTAAATAGAATAGTGAGCCGCCAATGATTCTAAATAGACAATACCAGGCTTAAGAGCTCTTCACAGTTAGGGAAGATTCTTTTCTTTGAGATATCACAAATTTCTAGTGTAGGATAGATGTTTTCCAATAAAACATCTCCAAATGGAAAAAAATTACAGTGAAATGATTATTATGATAAACTAAATAGAAATAACAGGAGGCTTAATTCCAGTCTTTAAAAAACATATGAAAAAAAAGCAACAAGAATGCACCTTTTTTGACCGTCATTTTTTAACTTTAATGATTGTATCAACCAAAAGATCAAAATTTGTATGTTTCTGTTAAATGTCCTAGTAGAATATCCAAATAAAATCAACCTTCATCTTGAGAATTTCATGGAACAGTTATAGATTTTTAAAAAGTAAAACCCCCTCTTGTTTAGGCAGCAACAGTTTATGATTAGGAAAGCACATAATTTGAAAACCCACTTATACATGCCTTTGATAGCAGGTGGGGCTTCTGTCTCAATTTGTCATTAGGAAACAATATGAGAATGGGAAAGAGGAAAATCAATGAAACATGCTCTGTCATGGCAGGAAGCTGCCATCTTAATAGCTGTAGCATTTAGTAAGCAGCTGCCCTTTTAGAATTCTCCTTGGTAATGAATTCTTCCCCTGCTGCTGCATTCCAGCCAATTGGCTTTTGCTGTGGCAATATGCCTCTTAGCAGACCTCATTAACTTCTGAAAAGACTATAAGCTAAAACACAACTGCACATGCAAATGAAAAAGAACAGCAACGGAACTAATTATCAAAGAAAAAATAATTACAGGATTAACTGATAAACTGATTAAATTTAAATAAACTTAAATTATTTCCTAAAGAGGGAATGAAAATGAAGGTGAAAGCATTAAAAAATTGAGAGATTTTGTTTCCTAAGTGTCATTTACACTATTTTATCTCAATATTAAATAGGCATTAGATGCCTATCATGGAAAAAAAAGACTTGCTAAAGTTGTGTGTGTGAGCGTAAGACAGAATAGATGAGGATATAAGATAATAATAGGATAAGATATGAATATAAGAATAGGATGAGGAAAAGGACAATAAGGAGAAAGAGTAGAGAGAATAGAGATTTTGTGTCACTTTTAAATGCAATAATACATAATCATCTTTATTTAAAGTACATGAATAAAATACTTTTTAACAAAGGAGACAATTGCACAAAAGACTAAGTAATTAGACTTCTAACTTTGTTTTTAGGTAAGACCCAACCAAGCAAATTGGCTCTCAGATGAATTCATGTTCAAAGAGAAAGAGGCTCATTTAATGTCCTGTGCTAAAGTATTAACCTGACAACTGATATGCACTAGACTGCAAGTTCCATAAGCAGGGACTTTATCAGTTTCTTTCCTTATTGTGAATACAACATGCATCATAGGGCTTGGAAAAGAGTAAGTTCTTCATGTCTTGACTTCTAGCCAGTAAATAATTTCCAAATTGAAAGAACTTCAGTATTAAGAACTCAAAATGAAGAGTAATGAGGATAATAAAGAAAGCAATTCTGTTTTCTTTATAGAAAATAAATTTTAAATTTTTCATAAAATTAAATATATAAATATTGAGGTATATCCTAATAATATTCCATAAGTACATACCAAAGCTCTTCAGACTGCACAAGGCACAATAGTTAAGCATTTGCCCTAATATACTATTACACATTATACAGACATGCTCACATATACACATTCTAAGTCTGTGTGTTTCCTGACTGTTTTTGAAAACAATATTAGAGAATATGACATTTTTAACAAAATATTTTAAATTACAGTGTATTATTCAAGCTGGGATTAAGTTTCTAGTTTGCTTTTAGTATGCACTACAGATATGAGGATTGTTGGATGATGAATGCTGATTCCATATGTGAAACAATGCCTCAATCACAGAACAAAAGTGAGTCAGAAACAATTTGTGATTAATTCTTTTTCTTTTTGGTATTTAGTTGTCCCAAGTGTATAGTTATTTTAGTCCAATTTTTTTTTAGTCTCTTTTATGACAGAACAGGATTATTTGTGCAGGATCAGAAGTATTAATGAATTGATTTATTCTAGCCACAGCAGAGGGAGCTATCATTAACTCATACATCTCAGAGGTTTCTGGGTTTTTTTTTTTCGGTTTTGTTTTGTTTGAGGCAAAGACTCACTGTGTCACCCAGGCTGGAGTGCAGTGGCACCATCTCGGCTCACCGCAACCTCCGCCTCCCGGGTTCAACTGATGCTCCCACCTCCCCCAAGTAGCCAGGATTACAAGCGTGCACCACCATGCCTGGCTAATTTTTGTATGTTTAGTAGAAATGAGGTTTCACCATGTTGACCAGGCTGGTCTCAAACTCCTGACCTCAAGTGATCCACCCGCTTTGGCCTCCCAAAGTGCTGGGATTACAGGCATGGGCCACTGTGCCCAGCCCATCTCAGGGGTTTCTATGCAGCTTCTATTGTTTTCACAATGAATAACTTTTCTTTCTTTCTTGAAAACTAGTAATTTAGATTTAGATATCCAATACTCATTTCTCATGCATCTACAATACATAGTGTTTAAGAAACTAGATTTCGGACAGAAGTAGATCATAACTCCAGTTGCTAATAACAGCAGTTTACTAGCTGTGTGATCATGGGAAGACTAAACTTCCTAAGATTTTGTTCTTTATTGTTTAAGATGGGAAAAATAATACCCACATCATAAAGTTATAATGAGTATCAGATGCAACAATGCATCCATAAACCCCGGCACAAATTCTGGCATATGGTTAATGAAATGGCTCATGGAATACTATTGCCTATGTACAGATATTAGCATTGCTACTTTGTAGTTATGCAACATGTGGAAGTCACTTACCTTTCCTGTTTCTCAGTCTCTCTATCAATAAAATGGGGATACTACTACTTTATTACTTGCTTCAAGAAGCAAATGAATCAACATACATAGAGCATTGGAACAGGGTTTGGCACAAAGCAATAATAAATGCTTAACCTTATTCAATAATAATATATTCAATATTCAATAATCAGAAGTGCGTATCATGAAATAGGTATGGTTACTTTACTCACTACTGTTATGTGCCAGGCACTATCTTAGGCATTGGCGGCATAAGGTAAAAGACACTCTCCAGTTCTAAAATACTTAGTCTAGTGAACTTTGCATATTTACACATGACTATGCTTCTCCTCCAGAAATTAATACAAAAAGACAAGTCATCTTTTTGCATGTCTAGCTACATTTACCCAAAAGAAGAATTATCCACAACTCTTTAGTGATGGAATTATTTTCTCCCTCTTAATCTAAAGATATCATAAAACTACAAAAAGAAAAGGGCCAAGGGGAATCAGTGTGGAACATAGGAGCAATCTTCTCTTGTCCTGGATGGCGAACTGCCATTCCCTGACATAGAGAACATGAGAATCAAGTGCAACACCTTTCTTAATCTCATTTTTCAGTTTTCCATAGAATCATAAATGTTTCATATGATACCAAACGTACACCAAACAATGCCTAAAACTCTAATCAGCCCATGACACCAGCAGGAAACTCAGGACTGGGGCCACTAATGGGCTACAAGCAAAGTGTGTAGGGGAGAAAATGGTCTATTTAATTGGAGAAAAGAATCAGGATACAAAAGGTGGATAGACTAGGCTATATCTAACAAGATGGGCCTTAATCAATTAAAATAATGTGATTGGAGGACAAACCTAAACAATAGGAGGATATGGATTGGTAAGTAAAGAGACTTTCCAGTTTTAGGAACCCCCATACCAGTCAGTTTTGGCTGCTTGAACAATAGCAACAGTGACAACAACAGCAACCCAAAGAAGCCAGTGAGGTCTATCCTGCAAAGCCAGAACTCTGCAACTTAAATGCAAGTGCCAATACCAGGTTAGATGTTCCCTATTCAGTTATGAATACTGCACTTAAAGGGGGCCACTGATGGGCAGCAGAGCACTCCTCCATGCATTCAACTGGTATTTCCTGAGCACCCTCTGTTTTTCCAGGACCTTCTCCAGGCACTGGGGATTCAGAGAATAAGGTAAACATAGACAATATGGTCTCCTTGAAGCTTACTTTGGGGTGGGGTGCAGATATAAAATTAAACAAAATCAGCAATTTCAAAGGCTAAAAGTGTTATGAAGAGAATAAAATAAAGAAGGGTGATGGACAGGGAGTGACCAGAATGAAGAGGAAACAGAACTGACTAAGACCAGGTGGGTGACAAAGATCAAAAGACTCTTTCGAGGAGCTGACCTTTGATTGGGACCACCCATTTGAAGATGAAGGAAAAGAACATTCCAGGTGGCGGTGACAAGGGCAAAAAGAGAAGACTAATGTGTCTGAAAAGCAGGGGAAGAGGAAGCAGACAGGATACACCTGGAGGAGAGAGGGAGGCAGGGTCAGATCAGGTAGCATCTTGTAAGCCATGATAAGGAGGTGATTGTATTCATTGTATAAATAGCAGTCATTAAAAATATAAAGCTAAGGCCTGCCTGGTGGCTCACACCTGTAATCCCAGTGCTTTGAGAGGCTGAGGCAGGTGGATCACTTGAGGCCAGGAGTTTGAGACCAGTCTGGGCAACATAGTGAGACCTGGTCTCTACAAAAAAATAAAAATAAAAAATTAACTAGTCATGGTGACAGGCACTTGTAGTCCCAGTTACTTGTGGAGCTGAGGTGGTAGCATTGCTTGAGTCCAGGGAGTTGGAGGCTGCAGTGAGCCATGATCACGCCACTGCGCTCCAGCCTGGGCAACACAAAGAGAACCTGCCTCAAAAAAACAAAAATAAAAATAAAAATAAAGCCAAGATGTGACATGGTCTGATTCATATTTTAAAAAGATTTTTGGATTGCCATGTGGATAATAAATTGGGAGTAGGGGAGCAGGTAAGGCTGGAATCAACAAGAACAGTTAAATAATTTTTAGGGGGTGGGTGCAGCTGAGCAGAGTGCAGGTGATGTGTAGAAGATACAGAGAAAAATGTGCTCACGTGATGGGCCACATGAGGAATCATGCCTCAGGCAGAATGGCTGAAGAAAAAGGGCCTCATTAGCTGACAAAGAAGAACACTAGTGGACACCGATGACAGCTGCCTCCAAATCCTTATGTAGTTCAGTTCTGAGAAAGGGCCTCTGTGCCACGAAGGGTAGGCAGGCTTTATGTCAGTGGTGTGAAAGACTCCACATCTCATGCAGTGGAGCCCTCTGCTCCACTATATATAGACTACCTAACGTTGAGGATGCAGTATCTGTTTAACACGGTTGTTGTGAGGATTTATAAATTAATGTAAAAAAAAGACACCTACTTCATGAAAAGTACCTAGTAAATGATAGATTATAACAACTGTTATCATTAGGATTATTTTATTAGAAGAAAACTATTTTAGGGGGAGTTGCTTTTAACCACTTTTGTTTTTAAAAACTTTCAAATAATTTGATGAAATATATGACTTCTCCCCAGAAAATATATGCATGACATATACATATAGTACATTCATACTTACGCACACAAAATTTTGCATACAACTTTTAGCACTTAACAGAATCCTTTGAGAGCCCATCCATGAACCCCTTAGGAGAGCAGAGATCTTGAGAAGTTCTGTTCTAAAAGAAGGGAGTTAAGAAGCCTAAAGTTGGTTTAAATATAAGCTTGCTAACTAGTGGAAAATTAGAGCAGGGAAAATTTCTGGCCTTTCCGTTCTCTCCAAGGAGTTGTGCAGCAGCCTGGAGAGAGGAAATCAATGCACACACATACTAACAACAATCACAACAGAGGCAGCAGCATAAAAGAGACCATCCTGGCCAGGCGCAATGGCTCACTCCTGTAATCCCAGTATTTTGGAGGCCGAGGCAGGTGGATCATGAGGTCAGGAGTTTGACACTAGCCTGGACAAGATGGTGAAACCCTGTCCCACTAAAAGTACAAAAATTAGCTGGGTGCAGTGTTGGGAGCCTGTAATCCCAGCTACTCCAGAGGCTGAGGCAGGAGAATCCCTTGAACTAGGGAGGTGGAGGTTGCAGTGAATCATGATCGCGCCATTGCACTCTAGCCTGGGAGACAGAGCTAGACTCATCTCAAAAAAAAAAAAAAAAAAAAAAAAAAAAAAAGAAGACCATCCTTAAAGAACAGGCACATTACTCCATGAGTCAGAGCTATGGGCAAAGGGCCTTAAGGCTTTCATCAGAGAAGGATGCCAGACATTGGCATGACCCGTTCATTGTCCTTGTATCCTCCCTGAGCTAGGTGAGGGGAGACTTGCAGGGGCTACGGTGCCCATACTTCTGTGAATGTGAAATGAACTGGAGAAGTAATATTTGTTACTGTTATCCAAATGGACCCTGAGCTGTGGTTGCCTGGGAAGTCTGAGAATTACACATCTACTTGTTTGTGACAGAATGCAAACTCAGAGCCAGGTATGCATTTGTGCAATGTCTGACAACTCCCCAGACTATTGATTGAAAGATAAAAGGCATAAAAGTGCTGTGAGAGTCAAAGCAGGTATTTGGACTCTGACTCAACAATGAACTCTATAAAGATTAAAACTGAAGTGAAATACAATGTTTTGTACCAGTAATGTTTAGACCTTTAGACAAAGACTTGGCAGAGATATTGAAAAAGGACCAGAAACTTTGAACACAGTGTTTGAACTGGTGTGTGTGGTTGCTTTCTTCAAAAGAAATCTTACACAGAAATCCAATAAATTGCTTATAGGAGAGTTGCTCCCACAACAGTGGAAATGGGCACTCTCTCTACTCCACCTACTTGGCCTAAGGCACCCCCTCAAAACCTTTGGTTTCTCAGGATACAATTTGAAAACCACCAGATTTGGTGACTTCCAAGGGCCCTGCTAGACTGTCTGTGAATTTGGAACAACACTAAGTTGAGGTTACCTCAAATTACTTTATCTTTTCCTTAATTGACAGATAATTGCATATAGTTATGGAATACAATGTGATGGAAAAATACTGCATGATTTCACTTATATGTGGAATCTAAAAAAAGTCGAACTCATAGAAATAGATAGTAGAATGGTGGTTACCAAGCACTGGGATGAGGCAGGATGGTTTGGGGGGGTGGATAGGGAGATATTCATCAAAAAGTACAAAGTTTCAATTAGACAGGAAGAATAAGTTTGGGAGATCTATCATACATCAGGGTTACTACAGTTTTCAAATATATGATAATAATGTATTGTATATTTGAAAACCGCTAAGAGAATAAATTTTAAATGTTCTCACTATAAGAAAATGACTTTATCTTTGACTCAAAACTCTTAGACATACAATCATAGGGCATAAAGAGTTTTAAAATCCCACCAGAAAAATGTATACAGAAAAACAGAAAGCTTTGAGTTTGACTCAGGATGCCTCTCCCTGCCCTGGCCCAGCCCACTCCCCAGTCTACCTCCAGCATACCTCTTCATGGACTTTGGGGAGAGTTCCTTCTCTACTTCCTTCACAGGCATGCTGTAGGAGTCTACATTGTACTCGCTGTCATCGTCATATTCATGGTCTAGCAGTGTTCTTGCCCATGTCCCCATGTCATAAGGAGGCAGCATTCCTCCAAACTCAGAGGGCAGGATCTCAGGATGAATTAGTTGGTGTAGACTGTTCAGGTTGTTACCATGCAAAAATATCTATAAATGCAAGAAGACGGGAGGAAGGGAAAGACACAGAGGAAACTAAATACCATCTAAATCCTACAGGGGGGATGTGAGGATAGCAATAGCAAATATGAGTTTCGCATGTCTGTTAAAGTACTTTAGCCAGTCATCTACTCTGTAAAACAGGCAGAGCTGGTACTGTTATCCTAATATATCATACCAAAATCCTGAGGCTCAGACACTTTAAGTAATTTCTGGAAGGTCAGAGAGTTATTGGGTAAAAGAGCTGCAACCACAAATTTGGTTTCCTTCTTCATAGGCAGGGACATGGGCAGAATAATACGTACATGCTGATCTGTACATCATCCTGGTGTTAGTTGTGCAAACTTGATGATGTGTATAATGAATGCTGTGAAAACAGACCCTTCTCATAAGGGACTCATCAATTACAGAGCCTATGCAAGTTATTACACCAAAAAGCTGTCACTTGCAAGGCTTTCTCTTTATCATCAATAAAAATAAGAATATTGTAACCACTAAATTACTGTTTTATAATGCAAAGTGGGTGATGTAAATAACCAAAGTAGATTAGCATCGTCATAATGAAAGGCTGAGTGAAGTTCATGTCCCAAAGGACATTATGTTCTGTAATGTTGCCAGTATCTTCTCTACTAAAGATTTCCATACTGACTGTCCAAATAGAAAAAGAAACAATGAATTAAAAATGTAAAGCTGTATGCATACCTTAATCATTTTGTCTATGATTATAGACAAAATGCTCTCCTCATTTTTCCTAAATGGAATCCAGTCTGGCTTTGTCTCTTACCACTGAATGAAAACAACTTTTGTCAAGGTCCTTCTCATTGCTAAATTCAGTATCCAATTCCCAGTCCTTATATATCTTTAACCCTCAGTAGCAATGGGTATAATAGATGACTCTGTTTATTGAAACATTTTCTTCATGCATTTCTGATTTTCTTCTACCATCCTAAATAGTGCTTTAAAAAAAAAAAAACTTGAGGCATATTCAAGCCACATACTCAAGATTTGTTTTTCCATAAACTGCTACCTTTGCTCTTCTTTCATTTCAGTTTCAAAACTACAGATTGGCCTTCTCTGCTACAACACTGTTGTCTCATCTACATTTATATAATATTTATTTCAAAATTATAGTAAGTCATAAAAATAATTTCATTCTTGAGTTCAAGAAGAATAAGCTAACACATTCATATTTGCTTTCTGTACCTTCAGAATCCACTGAAGTAAATACATTGGGAAACAAAGAAAGATTACTCTACAATATCAAATAAAATTAGAAGATGGTAGTTGCCACTTAATAAGCATTTTCAACAAATTATAGAAGAGTAAAAGCAGAAACAGCAGGTCACTGGCCAAAATAGGCAGAGCAAACAGCTGTCTGGAGTACATGACATGAGGCCCACAGGAGGTGGAAGAGGCCATCTGCCCCAAAGTACACCAGGTTAACTGCAAACTTTACACCTTCCCTCTCCTGTCTGAGGGCACAACAGCCAGTATTTATATCCAGGAAAACACATGTGCACCCCTGTGTTCTTCTTATAAGAAGAAATGAAAATAATTTTCCTGTGAAAGTTAAGTTATGGCACATGCAACCCTTATTTTATTAGATATATAACTTTTATTTTATCAAATGGGATCATTCACATAAGAAATCTTCTTCAACTCATGCAAGAGTCATGGTAATAAATCCTTGGAGCAGTCAGTGTAATCCTAGCACGCTACTTCCTCTCTCTTCTCTAACACTCTGTTGCCTCCTTCCGCAGCATCATTTTCCGCTTTGGCCTTGCTTCCACTTTCACTAAGAAAATAGGACAACCAGATGACATCAACCCACCCACCAGCATCTGTGTCTATGTATTTTGCCTTCACTGCTAGTACAATGAACAGATAAACCCTACAAAGGGCAACCTCTCCACCTGCGCACTAGAATTCGTCCTCTCTCCCCTACTCGGTTGTATTTCTTAACAGTTCTCTCCTATCTCTCACACATCCTCAGATTTCCTCTCTCTGCTGGATCTTTCCCATCAGAGAAAGAACATCCTGACTCCACGCCCCCCACACAGACACATAAAACCTCTCTCGGCCCTACTTCCATCTCCAGTTGCTTTCCTATTTCTCTCCTTCTCTTTATAGCAAAATTCACCCAAGGAATTGTCTATATTCATAGTCCAAATACTCTCCTCATTTTTCCTAAATGGAATCCAGTCTGGCTTTGTCTCTTACCACTGAATGAAAACAACTTTTGTCAAGGTCCTTCTCATTGCTAAATTCAGTATCCAATTCCCAGTCCTTATATATCTTTAACCCTCCGTAGCAATGGGTATAATAGATGACTCTGTTTATTGAAACATTTTCTTCATGCATTTCTGATTTTCTTCTACCATCCTAAATACTTCTTGGCAGTCTCTTTTGCTGATTGCCCTAATATCTTTTTTGTTTGTTTGTTTGTTTGCTTTTAGACAGAGTCTTACTCTGTCACCCAGGCTGGAGTGTAGTGCTGCGATCTCAGCTCACTGCAACCTCCGCCTCCTGGGTTCAAGCGATTCTCCTGCCTCAGCCTCTCGAGTAGCTGGGACTACAGGCGCGCCATCATGCCCCGTTAATTTTTTTGTATTTTAGTAGAGACGGGGTTTCACCATGTTAGCCAGGATGGTCTTGATCTCCTGACCTCATGATCCACTCGCCTTGGCCTCCCAAAGTGCTGGGATTACAGGCGCGAGCCACTGCGCCTGGCCTGATTTTCCTAATATTTTAACTGGAGAACTACTGGTCTCAGTCTTTGGATTTTTTCTCTTCTTTAACTATATTTTCTCATTGGTGATTTCTTTAAGTTCATTTTATTCAGTCAGTGGCTTTAAAATAATATCCCTGCACTAGAAATATATGTCTTGAATCCAGGCCCCTTTTTCAAACTCCATAACTGTATTTCCACTCTCCACTTAAAATATCCACTTAAATATTCAATGGCTGCTGCAAATTTAACGTGTTCAAAATTGGACTCATAATCTTCCCCCACCTCAAATATGCTCCTCCCTATCTCCAACATCAGTTAATGGTGTCACTATTCTTCCACTTTCTCAGACCAAAACTTTCAACTCAGCCCTTTACTCCCCTCATCATCTCAGTTGTCAGTAAATCTTTTTGGTGCTATCCTCAAAATGTATCCCAAATCCAATCATTCTGATTAGCTCTACCCCTACACCCATAACACAGCTACTATCCTTTCAGGTGTGCTCTTGCATGAGCCTCCTAACTGTCCTCTCTATATCCACTCTTCCACCTACACTCTATTCTCAACAGGGCAGCCAGAATGACCATGTCAAAATATAAGTCAGGTCATATCTTTCTCCTCACAATTCCCCATTGACTTCTTTCTCTTAGCATGAAACTATAAGGTCCTATAAGAATTACTTCTTTGAACCCATCTCCTTCTATGCACTTGCCTCAGAACATTTATAATGGATATTTCTTCTGTCTGGAGATTTCTACTCCCAAATGTCCTCATGGCTTGTTGACCTACATCCTGCACATCTCTTCTTAAAAGGCCCCTTGTCAGGAAGGCCTTCCTTGGTAAACCTATTTAATACTGTAACCCTGCCCAACCTGGGAAGCCTATCCACTTTCTATGTATCATGTTTCTTGACAGCACCTCCCAACTTCTAATATATCATATAATTTCCTTACTTAAATCATGCATATATTGTCTTGGCAATTCATTAAGTATAATGCTCTTATTTCTCCAAAGCCAAGATTTGTTGAAAAAATATATATTATATGATGATGCTCTTTTAGAACTCTTACATGTGAATTGCATCTCTGGACCAGGCAGTAAAGATGCATTGCAATTGCCCAATTGTTAAGTTTCTACTTTTGGATTTTTCTTTGTTTTCACTAGTTCTGTGTAATAACATCATTTATTAACATTTTACTATTTTTCTCTCCTTATATGTTTTTCCTTCCTCCATTTCATGCAAGAAGTTTGGTCCTTGTTGGTTCCTGTGCCTCTGAATACCTTACAATTCTGAGAATTAGCCTGAATAATACTTCCATTTTTTATTTTACTTTTCTACACTGTGCTATTAAAGAGATTATGCTAAGTGATCTGGAGTGAAAAAGAACAGATGAAAGTCTTTTGAGAATCAACAAGGAGTAGAAGACAACATTGGCCATATTGACTAAAAGGAAGAAATTTGTGCCAATTAGTAGGAAAACCTGTTTCCCATCAACTTTTAAGTAGCAGGAGCACAACTATTGACTTGCTGAAGAATACACTAGGGTAGTGGGTTTCATTGGATTTTAGCTTTTGCAAAGATACCCCTTTTTCACAGATAACTTGGGAGCAGTAGGAGACCTTAGTTTAAGGAACTAATATTGGTTTGAACAATGAGGACATCAGAAGTGGCCATGATGGATGGGAAGTTTGGCTCTGCGTGAAAGACTCCAGATACTGGTGAGCTTTTGAGGGAAAAGGACACCTGTACTAAGGGTGATATTCCCAGCAGCCCAGTAAGTTGGAGACTCAAAGTCAAATTTAATTTAATTTAAGAAAATGAAGCAGGTGATTCTTGCACACCTGAGTTTGTAGAAAAAGATTCACAACTGCTTCCTCAGTTCTCTTTTACTAGCTTTTCAGAACATAGACTTATAGCATCCGAAGCATAAGGTGTGTGAGTAATATTGTGATACTGACTCACTTGGAATATCAGTGAAGAAATTTAATAGCTTTGCACTGTGTATTGATTATATAAGTAGAAATTTAAAGTATTTAAATATATAATTATTTTCTCATATGAAAATTTCCAAGTCATATAATTTTAACTAAAATGGTAAAGTTTAGATACCTTCCTTCCATCTGGAATAATGCTAGCAGTGCATGCTTCTAGGTTGTCAAAGCTGTCCAATTCAATTACAAAACCCCAAAACGCAGTGCACTCCTTGTTTCCCAGAATTGATCCTCTTCAGTCTTTTTCAACAGAGCAGAATCATGTTAAAAATCATTTCAGAACAAGTAACCCCTGTATTCAATGACCTTCAAGGGCTTCAAATTTCATTCTGACTGAAAGCCCAGATTCCAGCAATGGTATATGAGTCCCTGTGCGATCTGGTACAAAGCAGTCCCCCCTATCCCATCCTCTACCACCTACTCCATCCCCTATCATCTGCCCCCATAGCTCATTCTGCTCCAGCTTTTCTACCTTCTTGCTGTTTGTCAAATACACTAGGTGTGTTTCTACCTGAAGACATTTGTCTTTGCTATTCCTTCTGCCTGAAACTCTCTTTCCCATAAATTCACGTATCCGGCTCTACGATCTGCTAGCTGTGATTCAGAGCAAATTGGTTAACCTTCCAAGCCTAATTTTTCCATCCATAAAATGAGAAAAATAACAATATATACTCCAAAGTGGTGTCGTAAGTACTAAATGAGTTAACTTATGCAAAGCACTGAGAACAGCATGTGGCATTGAGTGAATACTGTATAAGCACTCACCAGTATAATTTGTACTAAAAGCCCCTGCAGGTTTTTTGGATCACTTGATCATCCTTTCATTAAAGCAAATCTTGCAAAAGCACTTGTGAGGCATTTCAATAAACTTTCTGAATTCCAAAATATGAATTAATTTAATACTTGGTGGTAGAAACAATTTCTACTATAAATTATAATTGTTTATAGAATTCTTCCTCCTAAACTATTAAAACATTGTCAACAAATTCATTTACAGTAAACCCTCTGTTCACTGATGCTTGATATGAACATGTAATTATTGTATTTTCAGGAGCGCAAATTCACTTACAGTAAGCCCTTTGTTCATTAATGCTTGATATAGACGTGTAATTATTGCACTTTTTTAAAAATTATACTTTAAGTTTTAGGGTACATGTGCACAACGTGCAGGTTTGTTACATATGTATACATATGCCATGTTGGTGTGCTGCACCTATTAACTCATCATTTAACATTAGGTATATCTCCTAATGCTATTCCTCCCCGCCCCCCATCCCACAACAGGCCCCGGTGTGTGATATTCCCCTTCCTGTGTCCATGTGTTCTTATTGCACTTTCACACTCACAATAAAGCTTCTACCTGAAGTGCCTTCTAGGTCATTGAGAAACATGGAAAATTATCTTCCATATAGATTTAGAGGAAAATGTATTTTGCTGTGGAACTAATCATTCGAAAACTGGGAACAGCACCAGGAAGTAAAAATAGCTCTATACATGGGGCTGAAATATTTGGGTTTGTATACTAGCTCTGCAACTTTTCTTCTGTGTATGTGAGTAAGCAGGTTATTTATCCATTCCAGGACTTAGTTTCTTCAGCTCTAAAACAGGAAATAATGGTTACTAAATTTACTTTTCAGAGCTGTTGCAAGAATTAGTGAAATGTACATCAAGACTTATTTTAATAAAAATAATGTGTTCAGTATTTACCTTGTGCCCTACACTGTATCAAATGTTTTACATAAATTATCTCAATCTCAGAAAAATTATTTTGTTTTATGCACTTTGACTATCCTCATTGTTAGATTAAAGTGAATTTAAAGAGACTTCAAGTAACATATAATTTAAAGAAATATTAAAATTTCCACACATTAGCATTCTTTTCAAAATGTGTGACTGATCATGATAATCATTGTAAAAAATTATATTAGATACCACAGATTTCACTACATTCATTGCGGTACATACTGTGAAAAAACATCCACTTACCAGCATATAAAATTATAACTTTTGTTTAGACTTTACTTCAAATTAAGTGCATCAATAACACTATAGTAACATGGCATAAGAGTTTTTTTTGGCCTTTAAATTGAGTCTTTAACAAACAGTGAATATGCTAAAATGTCCTCCTTTTTGTGAGCAAGTAGGAGAGCTAGCTTTTAAATGCTTCTTTCACAGATATACTGTTCACAACCACAAAATCTGGAAGAATCTTAAAATGTCTTCTATGTTGATTTCTATACAATGTAGAAGTACATTTTACTATAGCTAACATTATATACACATTATGCATTATAATTCATTGGATGGCGGAAGAGAAAGGATTAAAAATCAAAGAAAAGAATACCCTTTTCCGAGTTTTCTCCTTCAGGAAAGGCCGGATCACGGTGTACAGGGCATGGATATACCATGGTTGATTGACAAAATGAATTCCTCCAAATCGCGCTGGGAAACTATCCTAGAGTAACATGGAGAAAAAAACAATCAAAATATGCTTTAATAGACTGAGAAGGTTTAGGAAAGGTTATATGGTATACAAATTTATTCTTTCACATACTTAGATGAGATTATCTGTGGAGTTAAGGAGAGAAAAGAAGAACCTTACCACGTTAAACATTGTACTTTTCATACAGTAACTGAAGCAATGTATAATAAATCAAATCCTTCCCAAGAATAGGTTATTGATAAGAATTTCAGCATTTTTAAGAGGGTCGTAGTTTAAGCCTATAAACTGCTAATAGTCAGTACAGGCCAAGAAACAAAAACAAAAGTCATTAGAGATTTGTCAAATAATGAATCTACATTCTATAAAGGTTTCATTTAAATTATTTATATTTATATTAAAATCTATTTTTTAAATAAAATATTTTATTAAATCCCTATCTAGTCATCTACAGTGTGAGAAATGCCAGACACAAAACTCATTTTATTCTCTTTATCTTATTATTTTATCAACTTAGTTATAAACATTATCTTTTCCTTATTTTAACTACAAGAAAGTAACATGCTTAAGCAAAATAAAAATGCAGAGTTGTACTGTAAGAAACTTAAGGATGTATTTTGCTAGGTTAAATGAAAATCGAATCTCTCTGATCTCACTCCACAGGAGGAAAATGTAAAGCCAGCCTCCTCCTCTTCCTACCCATGATTAAATAGGTACAGCCCTAGCCCATTCCAAAATATGAAGGGAACCCTTAACCCAAATGAATGGCAACATTTGACACTGCACTTGAGTATGTTAATGATTCTACATAAATGGATCTGATCCTTGCTACTCTTTCAAAATTACACATTGAACTCACTACAAAGGTCTTCTTTAAAAAGAAAAAAAAAACTAGCCTACTAGAAGTGCCTCTGAAGTGGCATCATAATACTCGGCATTCTTCTGAATTCTATTTAGAGCACAAGCAGGAAGAAAAGAAAAGTAAAGGAACTAAAATAATTGTATTTTTTCAATTTAAATGTTCTCTTGAATAAGAGTCTCTGGTCAAAGACTTGCAGGGCATAACCCTATAAAAATATTTTGTTTTTATTTTGGACACTTACGAGCAGTAGTGAATTAATCTAGTATTTGCATATTGATTTGCAGAGCTGCCAAATTTCATTTTGCGAAGCAACTTCTACCTCTGAGAATAATACCCTATAAAGCAATAGTAGTTCAACAAATAATAAAATAGCTTAAGATAAAACTTTTACTTTTTATGCCAGTGTCTTACTTCTTTTGTAAATATGTGGTTTTCATTCATTGAGAGGTTATTATAATAATGAAATGAATCTGAATACAGGCATAGTATATTTTAAAGTTATGAAATATGTATAAATAAAAAGAAGATAGTATATACCTAAATAAGAGAATACTAAGACAAATACTCATATATCTTAATATTATTATTAATAATTATTATTTCACCTGGATATGGGAGTCATAGAGAGGTTTCCTTACAGGTTTCCTGGCCAGCAGGTATTTTCCTAGTTTAATGTTTCCCTAAGAATGTAGCACCTATAGGAATGAGGTCTCGCATCCAGTCCCCCACTTGCCCTCAATGTGTGCAAGCCTAGTCTTTCCTCCTGAGCACCCTACAATTCAGGCAACCACTCACTATTCTCCAAAGTTCTAGGTTCCTGTAGTTAAGAATTTCCTCCCAGCCTTCACCTGCTCTCCTGTTTTTCTCCTGTAGATTTTAGTGTGTGCTTGGCTTAGAAGGATTTGTCTCACATTCTTGAGAGTTCAGCAACGCACATGGAAATATTTTTGTTGTGATGAAACCAACATCTTGGTACTTTATGGCAAAAAGATCTTTAAAAATTGTTAACCTGCTGCACTACCTGAAGCAATCTCTAGAATAAAACTAAAGGAACACCAGCTATTAAGCCAAAAGTCTTGGCTCAAGTGATTATTATTATTATTTTTTTTTTTTTTTGAGACTGAGTTTCACTCCTATTACCAGGCTAGAGTGCAGTGGCGCAATCTCGGCTCACTGCAATTTCCTCCTCCCAGGTTCAAGCGATTCTCCTGCCTCAGTCTCCTGAGTAGCTGGGACTACAGGCATGCACCACCACGCCCGGCTAATTTTGTATTTTTAGTGGAGACAGAGTTTCACCACGTTGGTCAGGCTGGTCTCAAACTCCTGACCTCAGGTGACTCGCCCACCTCGGCCTCCCAAAGTGCTGGGATTACAGGCGTGAGCTACTGCACCTGGCCGGCTCAAATGATTCTTAAACTTTGAGAATCACAAGAAGGTCATGCTTCTTCTTCTCTCCTGAAAAACATGAACATGCAAACATATACACATAACTTGCACACAATGCAATGTCATGGGCTTTCTTGGACACAGCTTTAGATATACTTGATCAATACCCAATCACAGTTGAGGCAGAGTGAAAGAGCAGGGAAATCTCTGACTTTGCAATCAAGTAGATTTAGCTTAAAATTCTGGCTTAGTGTCACCTGTCAGGCATCAAAGTCCAAAACAAGAACGTAGCCCTTGATTTCTTTCTTTCCCTCACTGTGATCTTCCTCGCTTCCAGTCATGCCCAAGTGCATGTCATTTTCCTGCCTCCCCTTCACTTTTGTAGTCAACATACTGTTTTACGGCTTGTTAACTGTTCTCTCCCACACACCTACTGTGGCCTTCCCTCCCTTTGAGTATAATCTGGTTTTACTAATCCCTTAAGATTTAGCTCCAAAAACATCATTTCCAGGAAGTTTTTTTGATCTCTTCTCTCACTTCTCACTCATAAAAGCCCACTCTCTGCCATCACTAGCAAAAGCCTGGGTCCATCACTGCACTTGCCATATGACCCTGAAACTGTCTCTTTGTCTGCGTCCACTATTAAACCGTGAGCTCCTTAAATGCAGAGGTTACATATTCTGTAGGTCTATTGGTGCCTGGCCTGTAATCCATTTCCACTCACATCATCCCCTACCCTATAAGGTGGAAATGGAAGGTTAAACATAGCATTCTAAATGGGAGAGTTCTGCCAATGAGATGTACCTGAGCAAGATTTAAGGGACCAAAGGGAGGCAGCAGTCACCTTTTTGTTGCAGTGGCAGCTGCTAAGCACCTTATTAGCTGAGAGATTGTTTGCAGCAATGTCTGAACCCCACCTTCCTCTTTCTCGGTGTCACTTAGAGGTGAGAGGCCTCCGGGACAGCAGTAGCCAATGTGGGCACTAGTTTCTTGACTCTGAATCACTTCCACAGGGATGTGGCCTCAAAACCAAGGATTCAGCTGTAGTCCTCCTTTAACTTCCACTGCCCTAGGTCTTCCAATGTGGCCTTAAACACTAACTCCCAGTATTAAATCCGTTTGTTCTTGAACTATCCAAAGAGATTTCTGTTTTGTTGTACTGAACTCTGAGCCAGACTGTGCCTCATTCATCTTTATATTCCCAGAATTTCAAAAATGTGGTGTGTGTGTGTGTGTGTGTGTGTGTCCCAAAAGAGGTAGATAAATGTTCACTGAGTAGGCCTAGATAAAAACTATTTAAGTAAACTATCTTCTCTGATTCACAATTTCCTTATCTGTAAAATGGGAACAACATTTAATAGGATTACTGATCACTCACAATATCTGTTAATTATTCAGCACACCCTCTAGATACAGGGTTACCATATTAACCACAAGCCCCATCTTACAAATGTGGAAATGACCATGGAAGAGTGAAAGGAAAATAAAATGTCAGGACATCAAACTCACTAAGCCAAAGGGAAAAGTTAAGCTTGGAAACTGAGTCACACAAAAAAACTACCTTTGTTCCTAAATAGATAGCTGCAAGATAGAAGGCCACATAGCTTCCCAAGTGGTCTCCCTCATCCTGACAATCTAAATTAACAGCTTATCTTCACAGGTTCAGGACAAAGACAAGACTAGAAATCATCCCTCTACCAGCCGAGACAAATGCAGATTTACCAAATAGCAGGAGATGAATGCATAATTGACTGTTCTTCTAGACCCTCCCTTCACACCTACTATGTAGATTCAGTGGGCAGCTAATCAAAGCTTCACAAGAATATGACCCCTTATCTCACTACTTATCCTCCCTTGTTTTTTTTTTCTTTCCCCTTTCCCTCCTGCCCACTCATCCCTCCTTAAGTACTGAAGTCCTCAAAATGCTCTCTGGAAAAAAACACAGGCCATAGATCCTACTGTGGCTTGGGTCTCCTTTTCCCAGGCACGTCCTCAACTTTGGTGAAATAACCCTTTAAATTGATTGAGATCTATCTAAAGCGCTTTTGGTTTTACAGAGCTAGTTTTACACTGTGGTTTAAGCGGCAGTTGTTTGACCTACAAAGTACAAAGTAATAATAAAAATCACAATATACAATATGCCAATCATTGACTTGCTGGCTACACAGTTCTTCACTGGAGACAATGAAATAGAATGGCCTGGCAATCAGGAAGAGTGCAGCCAAGATGGGTTGAAAAAAGGTAATAAAATTTCTAACTTCCAAATGGTTTTGCCAATTCACCTGCTTCCACTCCTTTGTTTTTCTTTGAGCAAAGCACTTTGTGCCTAATGCAAAGACTGACTTGCCTCAATGCTTCAATTAATGGAAAGTTGGATGTCATTTATGGGGTAAATTAATTGATATGTATCATTATATGTGTGTGTGTATGTGTATCAGTGAATTATTCATATATTTCTAGCAAAAACATGTTTGCCTCACATATCTAACTATTCAGAAAGAAAAAGTAAAGAATCCGAACCATAGCACATTATTCTAACTTTTAAATAAATTTTGATGAAACACAAAAATGATGTGTTAGGATAAATACTATTACAAGTAATATTGTCTGATTTATGAAGAAAATAAATCAGTATAATTTCTGGTACAGTCATCAGGATACAGTTTATGGCTCCAAATGAGAGCAAAATGAACTTTTCTATAAGAATTAAATCCACAACTTTGGTCACAAGTAACACTGTCTAGGGTCCTAAACCAATCAGTTGTGTTAATATGTGTTTTCAGTGTGAACATAAGCAGAAATCGTATGCGTAATTTACTTATTTAAAATTAAATCTATCAGCCTTTAAAATATTTTTATTTAATCACTTTCTTGTACTTTTTTGAAACATTTAGCTTCAACTACTATAGGCCCCATAGCAAAGGGCATATAGTGATAAGGTGTAGCGCCCAGCACCTAGAAATTACATGTTTAATTCCATAACTCTACCCATAAAATTATACTAGGACCTAAAATATTGCATTAATCCTACTTGACACTAGGAATACACTATGTGTATAAATATAAAAGATACTTACTCTAGACATTTTCAATACAAAAAAAGTATAATTTAAAAAAATCATTCATAATTTTACCAACCAGAGGAAGACACAATACTCTAAGAATCTTGATGTATGCGCTCAAGTTTTTTTCCAAGTTTTATATAGATGATATGAAACTTGATGTACCTGTCTGGAATTATGATAATAGTTATTGGTAATGGCTCAGAGGTGTACAACACATATAATATCACTGTTTCTGAAAGTGATTTGGTTTAGAGAGTAGAAGTGATTTTGTGGCAGTTGGTATTGCTAATTCCCTCAGGAACATCACTATTAGCTTCCTTCAGATGTGTTTGAATTTAAGTTTGGTCTGCCTTAACATGCTAACCACACTGTGATTCCCTAAATATGACTTTTGGGGGTGTCTTTTCTAGATAGTATAACAGCATTTGGATACCTTGTATCCATTTTTTAGAATGTTGTATTAGCTGTTTGTATACAGGTCTTATTCATCTTCTAGAAGGTTCTGATTCCTGAAGAAAGTCATGCTTTTCCCAGTTCCAAATCGCTGCTCATTATCACTAGTGGACAGACAGATCCAGGCAAGCCATTCACTTGCCTTCCTGACGAAAGCAAAGATTTTTACCAAAACATTCCAACCAGTGTCTTCTGCCAAATTGAGAAGAGACAGCCAGGAAACTATTTAATTACCAGCTAATTGGAATGTCTTTTTCTGTGCCTCACTTATAACTGGTAATGAGCCATATTTGAATGAATGGATTGAAAACAAAAGATTTCATCCTTCATACAGAGATAAGAGTTTAAATTGGGATTGTACACATGACAGAGGCAGCTCCACCTCTGTCCACTTAACTTTCATTCCTCATTAAAATCTCATGCTGCCCTGGCACACACACAATAAAGGAACTTGATTAGATGCAAGGAATTGTGTAGAAGCCAAATTTCACCCGAAAAAAGAAGTAGTTAGTCTGATATGTAGGAAAGCAATAATAAATAATATTTTTTCTTACCAAGTTATTTAACACTTAGGAGTTTGCCATCAGAGAAAAGAGAAAAAAAGATAATTGAATGGCTTGAAAAATGAATAGTCAATTCCTGTTACAGGAGACATCAGTCTCTAGAGATATACAACACTGTATTTTAAAATCAATGGTTAGAAAGGGTTTTTACTTGATGAGCATTCTCTAAAATGAAATGCACATGAATCACATATTCATGATTCCTTAAAAATAGTGTCTCAATTTTAATAAGTGTTTTAAGAAATAATATGGATTTACCATAATGAATCACTTAAAATAGTGATTAAAATGATACAATCATTTCCCATTAATATGTGGCTTTGTAGGTAACTTTTTTTAGAATATTCAATTTTTGAAATACGAATATATTTTGAAATAATTGTGCCCTCTCAGATGCTAAAATCTTAATTCCAAATATGCACTAGAATGTAGATAACTTTTTAGCATTAATTTTTAAATTGAAAATTGATGTTCTAGATTCACATCTAGATACTTTATAGTATCTCTTTAAGACCCTCAGCCAAATGCCAGCTATTGTTTAAATTTTCCATCATGAATATAATTGTGTCAACATGTATTTCTCTTAAGTGTAGTCAACAGAATATGCTCTATCCAAAGGCATACATATCCTTTCTGCCATTACTATTAAAAAAAATCATTTCCCCATTCTATATGTGTTAATATTGGCTAAAGAAGACTTCACAACACTGTGACTCCTGGAAAATCTCTCTTTTGCCCTGTCACTCTCCTTTAAGGGAATTCAGTTCCCATTATAGAGATCTGCAGCTTTACTCTGTTTCATTTCTGTCTGAGGGTGTTTGTTTGTTGTTATTGCTGTTTTAAAGTTAATTAGAGATAATGCCCAAGTGACATATCTTCTCGGTGCACACTACTAGAAAATCTGCCATGGATTCTTAAGGTTTTACAAAATTGTGTTCTTTAAACTGTGGGCGGGCATTTACTGTAGGGAGAACAGGTCTCACACTAACATTTTGAAGGCAGAAGGATTTGGCTGCATTGCTTTGGTGATTCTACAATCACTATTTATAGTTTGGACAGGGAGAGTTTTCAACTTCTACTCAAGATGACTGGAAGGAATTTTCCCTGCAACTCAGAACTATCCTTTTATTAAGTCCTTCAAGTTTTTCTTTATGCAACCTGTAGAGGAGCCTATCAGACAACATCATTTCACTTGGGCATTATTTCTAATTAAGTTCAAAAAACAACGTGGTGCTCAGGGCTGCTCCAGTTTATGAAAATGCAGGCCCATACAATGGCATGAGTTCCACTTGTTTCATACAAGATAGCACACAACTGTCACCTGCCTATGGAAAAATGAGAGTTTTGTGATGGTCTTATCATTATTGTAATCATAATGTAGACTATCATTTCCAAATTTTTAATTTTTTAAACTCTGAAAAAAACTGTATGAATAGTCCAAATATACAATGAATAACTTCATTTCCTCTTTTGCCACTTAATTATCACTTGTAATTAACAATTCTTTTCTTTTCTTTTCTTTTCTTTTCTTTTCTTTTTTGAGACGGAGTCTCACTTTGCTACCCAGGCTGGAGTGCAATGGCGCGATCTCGGCTCACTGCAACTTCAGCCTCCCGACTCCCGAGTAGCTGGGCTTACAGGTACCCGCCACTACGCCCAGCTAATTTTTGTATTTTTAGTAGAGACAGGGTTTCACCATCTTGGCCAGGCTGGTCTTGAACTCCTGACCTCATGATCCACCTGCCTCGGCCTCACAAAGTGCTGGGATTACAGGCATAAGCCACTGCGCCTGGCGCGTAATTAACAATTATATATTGATTCCATGGCGGGGAGAACACAACGTTACTCTTTTTTTTTCTTTTTCTCGTCTGTTTTGAACACATGTACTGAAATAATCTATAACATTCTTGACTCCCAGCTTCCAGTAATAAATCCACTAACCTATTAGGCAATGTGTCTGTAACAGCAAAGGTATCCCCGCTTTTCAGTTTCAGCCATATACCCAGAATTACCAAATAGAGCAGAGGAATTATTATGGGGAAAAAACCTACAGGAGTATATTATGACTATATGCACAGGGCCTCTGACATGTGTGGGCCAGACATGATTAGGCTATCTCAAAATCTGAGGCCTATTCCAATTATTGACAAATCATTCTTTTGTTACAGTTTTTCTATGCCTACAGTTGATCACTTGGTGAAGCCTAACAGCACTTCAGATACAACCCACCCCTGCCCAAGCCTGGACCCTTGATACGATGTTAATGTATTTGTATGGATAGATCTCTATACCAGGATAAAACTCTCAGCTTTGGTGACTGCTGTTTTATTAGTGATTCAATGACATCAACTTTGCATATGGAGTGAAATGTCTGAGTCCTGAGTACCGTAAATATAGACAACTTAAAGTAGAATACTGTATAAAATATTCTCCCTTGAAAGAGGGAGTTTTACATAGCTAAAGAGCTAATTTTACCTAGCTACCTATTTCTCAAAGTAAAACCAACACTAAAAACTAATCTGTAACATGTTTAGTCATCATAACTGAATGGGCAAGAAGATCTCTCTTTTGTGAGCAAAACATACATGGCCTTCTCACCAGTTACCTTTTCTGCCAGAGAAGGCTGATAACAGATGGAAGCAAGTCATAGCCACACACCTCAACAGGAAGACACAGGGCTTGTTTAAGTCAGCTGCTGCTGGTGTGTGCCTGATACAATCAGGAGTAAAATAGCCTAGAGAATGTGACACAAAGTCATTCTCACACCACCTCGCAGTCTAGGAAGCACCAGTCTCAATCAAGCACAACAGCAGGAGAGAACGCAGAGCAAAAACTACCGCCTTATAAAAATGTGTTCCTAAGTCAGGCTCCTTTATTAAAACTAAATGCACAGTAAGGGTCACAAATAACTGTGCCACTTTTAATCAAAGGAGTGAGTGTATTAATTTTCTATGAACCGTATTGAGGCTTGTAGCT
Organism: Homo sapiens; assembly: GCF_000001405.40. Taxonomy (NCBI): domain Eukaryota; kingdom Metazoa; phylum Chordata; class Mammalia; order Primates; family Hominidae; genus Homo; species Homo sapiens. The sequence continues at coordinate 123,039,331 of NC_000006.12, read as the reverse complement.
CCAATTTGTCATCTGACAGCAAAAAGGTCATACTATTACTCCAGCTAGTATATCAATAATGGATTGGGTCTCCTACTTGACTTTCAAGCTACTTTAGATAACACACATTTAGAAGTGCTGATGTTCTCGTATCTAAAATTGCCAAAAGGGAGGTAAGTGGCAGAATGTAGGCTAGAGAAACTGAGAGGAGAAAATTACAGTAAGAATCAGGCTAAAGTCTTTAGTGGATATTCCAGGACACTGCTGCCTACATCAGGCATGTGAAACTAGCCAAGATTGAATTTAATGATGAAACAGTGCTGCGAGGGTTTGGCAAGACAGGAACTGTCATATTCTGAGGAGGGGCCATACACTGGTAAAATATTATTGGAATAAACTTCAAAACATACTTGTTATGTCCATAATGTTGCTTCCAGACATCAGTTATAAGAAAATTATCATTAATTTGGGCAAAATGTTTTGTGCAAGAATGTTTGTTTCATTTTTACATTTTGTAATTAGGAAAAATGTTGGAATCAATTTAAATTTACTTCAACAAAAGAATATGTGGATAATGTGTTTATAATATGTAATATCAAAGAGCCAGTAAGCGGCATTTTCAAAGAATTCCTAATGACCAAAAGAAAAAAAAATCAATATACAATATTAGGTTAATAAATTAGGAAAAAATAATTTATTTAAAAAATAATGTGAAAGGCTTGGAAAAAATACATCAAAATATTAACCTGATTAAATTTGTGTAATAATAGATGACTTACTTTATTCTTTGTACATTTTAAATTTTGCAAATGTTCTGAAATGGCCAATGTACTATACATATGCATGCATGTATACACATTTACAAATATGTATAATAGAAAAATATCACATCCTTTAAAAAAAATTGGCACAAAGACAAATTATATAGCACTGTAAGCATTAATTAAACTTAACAAATATTTACTAAGACTTACTCAAGGATAGGAAATGTAAGGCGAATGTGAATGAAGTAGTATTTACCTTGAAGGAGTTTATATTCTGGTAGAGAATAAGTAACATAAAGCAAGGAAAGATAACTTCCATAAGGTGTTAAGAGGCTTAAAGAAGAGAAAGAATGAGAGATTGAAAAGTTGGAGGGATGAGGGAAGAACTCACAAAAGAAATAGCATTAGGAATGGATCTCAGAAGTGTCAATAAGAATCTGGTAGAAGAGTGTCCCAGGAAGAAGGGGCAGTAGGAACAGAGACAAGAAAGATCAGGCCACCTTTAGGATCCAGTTGTCAAAACTGTTTGTCTGGAGTTGAAGGTAAGTGTAAGGAAATCTTGGCAGCACAGCTGAGAAGACAATGTGGAGCCTACCTGGATAGTGCCTGCTGTCTCACAGAAAGGTTTGTGCATATCTTAAAGGCACTGGGTATTCTTGAGAAGGGTGTGACACATTAAAGCTGTGCTGCGGGAACATTGATTTAGTAGGGGCATATGGCTTGATATAGAAACTTCACATTTTAATATTTATATTTTAGTGCAACCAATTTAATGTGGAGACATTGAGTCACAAGTAAAGAAAAAACAGCAGTAGCAAGTAGAGTTTTAGTTTAGTTTATTTTAGTTTAATTTAGCTTTTTTTTAATGACTAAGTAATGTGTGAGACAGACATCCACATACCAGGTTCCCCCAATTCACATCATGGCCACCTAAATCTGAGTTAAGGCAGTGAGGGTCAGGGCTGGGTAAGCACTGAAGTCAGACTTGAGAACTGATGGAGATATGAGTGGAATAAGGGTCATAGGTGTCTTTGGTGCACATTTCTTAGAGCAGAAGACAGTGATTTTATGTTCTGGCCTGCCAAGGTTGTTTGCTAAATACCTGCAAAATTCTCTACCTTACTTGATTTCAAGTAGAGAGAAAGTGAAGTTGGAGATGTCAAGTCAAAGCTGTTAGTACTGGCAGGGTAACCAGAGCCCAAATCTGAGTCATACCAAAGGGTTAACTATAAAAGAAAAACTAGGTAACCATGTTGAACATTTGAGTGACATGAGGCTCTACAACTTCACGAACAATTGTATACAGAGGGGATGTGGGAGAGAATAGCTGAAAGCAGTTTGCCACAGTTTAATCTGGGTTAGTTGAGAGACCACTAATTGTACTAGAAACTGAAAAGAATCATATTTGAGAGAGTGATGTGAATTTCAAGTGTCTGTAGACCACACACATGAAGATGTTCCTGAGCTGGGATAGCTCAGGCCACGGTAGAGATGTAGAAAAGCAAAAACACAGAAAAAAAATAAAAAATAAAAGATTCATGAATACATGTAAAGGCATTTTTAAGTGCCACAGTAATCTGTATATTTGAAAATAATAAGAATACACATTTTTCTCTCTAATTTAAGTTATTGACCAATATCATGGAGTTGGCTCGACTAACGTGTTGGAGAGAAGAGGGAGGTTACTGAGCCAGAGTGATGATTTCCAATCACTTGCCAGAACGCTTTTAGCTCTACCACCTCCTTTCAGAACTGTGTGGTGTCCATATGGATGGTGAGGCAGTAGATTATAAAGATAGCTTGAGAGGATCTAAAGATGTTTCAGGCACATGTTCTTCAAAAAAGCACACATGAACAACAGCAAGACTGGGGCTCAGCATGTAGGCAGCCCCTCAGTCTGAAAGTGCTGATGAGGAACTCTAATTCTGTCTCTAAATGTTTCCTGAAAAGGTGAAGGGAAAAGGGGATGGTACCTCAGTTTAGCTAATCTAAGAGGATCTACTTCCTCTTACCTGTTAGTTTTATTTAACACAACAAGAAAGAAGCAAGCGTTCAGCTTGGGATCATTACCCTCTTTTCAAAATCCAGAAACACTTAATGAATGTACCTCTAAACACAAAAAAGAACATCTAATTCAATGCTTCAAAGATTTTACTGAGCTTTTCTTGGATTTATTACAAAAAATCTTACAGAAATTTATTAATTTTGGTTAATTGGAGTAGATTCTAATTAAAACACCAGGAAATTCAGATGGCCTGAGTAGAATTCTTCCTCCTTTTGCTTTACCCCCTGTGACTTTATTGGAAAGTAATAATCACCCAAAGCTATTCTCTAGAAGTTTTATTTTACATTGCTACAAAGTCCTCCAACAAATAAAGCTTCTCAGGAAATAATATTCAACAAGTTGTTGAACCATCATGCAGTTCATGGGAGTGGAGATGTCAATGATTAGCACCTACTGTCTGCCCCTAGCATTATTGTGCATTCAATGCTTCCATTCCCTCAAATTTTACAATGGAATTGGAGTGTTTATACTAGTATTTGGTCTACTAATATGCATGTGGAAGATATGCAAGCATCTCTGTTTGTCCAAGCGTACACATCAGGACGACCACACACATCTACAGTCTTTCCTTTCACAATCTCAGTCATATAAAGAAAAAATGTCCATCCCAGCCACATCACTGTTGCATAAAATCCTCTAGGAAGAACAGATCTTCTGAATAAAGAAATGTTCTTTCCAACAGTTGTTGTGTATATGGGGGTGTGTTTGTGTGGTTAAGAGACCTCCCTAGCTTCAACTTTTTCCTTGAAATGTATGAGTACAAGTGAAAAAGATTACATGCCTTGCCTTTCCACCCACCCTTGATACCTAACTGAACAAAGCAATTCTGACACTAGAAAAAAAACCTGGTTCAATAACCTGTTTTACAGAACATGAGAATCTGACTGCCACTGGGGCAATGCAAGTCATTTCAAACATGGAAGTATGTGACATATTTATGGTATTTCAATCTTCATTTTTTTTTGAAACCTAATCTCTACTTTTTAGAATAGATAGTGTAGCTCAACTAGGTAGATTCCAGAGATTTTTGAAGATAAAATATGAGACTTTTTACCCAACATCTTCATCTTCAACACTCTAACCGACCTCATCCATGTAGATTGTCATTGGATCAGATTTTGATAATATTTCCTTTTTTCTACCATCTGTTTCCCATTCCTTGAACATGTCTTATATGTGTTCATGTTTGTATGGGTATGTATGTGTGTACCCAATGGTAAGTTCCATTTTAAGATTTATGTATTAATCCTAAAAAAATCCTCACATGAAAAAAAAAAATCAAAAAACCCTTCACTTGTAAAAGTTAACAAATAGGTAGATTTTACTTTGAAGAATTCTGCTTTTATCCCTTTTATTCTCTTTGCCACATAGATTTGACCAAAAACAAAACAGTAACAAAATACCCTACTTCTTTTAATGATGCAAAACAAAAATGCTTTCTGAAGATAATGCCATGGTGTTCTTCAAAAGATATAATAAACTGTTCTTTCTTCTCATTCAACAAGTATTTATTGTGCCTGCGATACTCTGTATTGGCACAATGCTGGTAGTGGGATGCTGACTGTATATTTTTACTTTACACCAGTCAGAAAGTACCTGAATCTATCTATTGATTTATTATTTTTTTTCATTTTGAAATAATAATAGACTCACAGGAAGTTGCAAAAACTGAGCTGGGTGTGGTCCCATGCACCCCTTGCCCGGCTTCTCCCAGTGAAATTACTAGAATAACGACTAAAACCAGGAAATTGACAGTGGTACAATCTGTGGAGCCTGTTCATATGCCACCAATTTTGCAAGCACTCATTTGTGAATGTGTGCATGTATGTACTTCTAGGCAATTTATTATCTATGTAGCTTTGTGTAACCACTACCACATTCAAGATACAGAAATGTTCTATCACCACAGGGCTGCTTCATGCTACCCCTTCAGAGTAACGCTCAATCTATCTGACCTCAATTCCTAATCCCTAGTAATCATTAATCTCTCCTCTGGCTCTGTAATTTTGATGGATTTTGTTGAGAATTTTATGTACATGATACAGTATGCTGCCTTTTGAGATTGGCTTTTCTCACTTACTGTAATGCCCTTGATATTCACAAAAATTGTTGTGTGTATCAATAGCTTTTTTATTTGTTTTTCCTTCTACTGCAAGGTAGTATTTTATGGTATGAATGTATTACAGCTTTAACCATTCACCTATTTTAGGACATTTGAGTTACTTCCAGTTTTTGGCTATTATGAATGAAGCCACTATAAATGTCTGTGTACAAGTTTTTGTGTGAAAATAAGTTTTCATTTCTCTGCATTAGATGTTCCAGAATGCAATTGCTGAATCATATGGTCTCATGTTCAGCTTTACAGAAAACTGCCAATTGTTTTCCCGATTGCCTGTACCATTTTATATTCCTACCAATAAAGAATGAGAGAGCCAGTTCCTCCTCATCTTTGCTAGCCTTTACTATTTTCACTTTTTAAAAAATTAAATGATTTTGAGAGGTATGTAGTGATATCTCACTGTGGTTTTAATTACATTCCCTAATGGCAAAGATGTTGAACATCTTTTCATGTGCTTATGTGCCATCTGTGTCTCTTCCTTGGTGAAATGTCTGTCCGTGTGTTTTAACCATATTCTTATTGGATTGTTTTTTCACTGTTGAATTTTTAATGATTTTTTATATGACCCTAGATAAAAGTCTTTTGTCAGATATGTGGTTTGCAAATATTTTCTCCCCATCGGTGGCTTATCTTTTCATCCTTTTAACAGGATGTTTCACAGAGCAAATTTTTTTTTAATTTTGGTGAGGTTCAATTTACCAATTTTTTATTTTTTGATTATGCTCTGGGCACCAAGTCTAAGAACTCTTTGCCCAGCCATAGATCCTAAAGATTGTCGCCTATTTTTTTCTAAAAGTTCTACAGTTTGCTGTTTTTCATTTAAATACATAATCCATTTGAATTAATTTTTGCCTAAGGTTTGAGCTTTAAGTTGAGGTTCTTTTGTTTCATTTGCCTGTGCTTTTCCAATTACTTCCAGCAACATTTGTTGAAAAGCTATATTTCAACTGTTTAATTGCTTTTGCACTTTTCTCAATTATCAGTTGGACATATTTGTGTATGTCTATTTCTGGGTCCTCTGTTCTATTGATCTATGTTTATCCCATTGTTAGTTCCACATTCTAATATTTATCTCTCTAATACTATTACTGCTATATCAATTTGACAAAAAAGAACAAAATCTTCTTTTCACTATGTACATTAAAAATATCTTTCAAATATAATCTTATGTTGTTCTCTAAAAGATAAATTAAAGTTGATTTTTAATAAAATAATTCCTTACCCCCAAAGCTGACAGATTATCTTGTCATTTTAATTTTTCATCTTCATGAACCAAATAATATTAGTGTGAAATGTTTCCTTTAAACCAAAAATGGCTAATATGCCACCATGAAAATGATAAACCATACACCTGAGTCAAAGATACATTATCTAAAGACTGAGAAAAATTAGCAGAAAAAAATACAACTAAGAAATGACTAATTCAAAAAACTCTTACCTATATAAAGAAACAATAGACAACAAAAAATCTTTGCTGCTCTGGATTTATAGAATACCCATAATGCCTTGGACAAACCTGTCATTGTATGATCTTAATTTCATACCTGAAGAAACTGAGGCACAGAAAGTTTAAAGGCCGATATAATCAAGCTGTTGTTGATCAAGGTAAGCATGGACCCTACCAAAGTTTCAAATCTACTGCTTACTCCACTTACCTATAATTTTTGTATTCACTGGTAAGTGGGAAAGAGATCAAAATTTGAATATTAAACCAGAGCTGAGTATCATACTAAGAATATGCTACTTCACATACTCCTATAGCCATGCAGCATTCACCCACTCTACAACCAACACTCGCTTTTATAATTTTCTTTGTTTAGGTTAAAAAATCATATTTTATTGATGATAAAGTAATTTAAGGAATATTTGTTAAATGTCATTTTTGCCACTCCCCTAGTAAGTGTAAGACACCAATGCCTGCTTCCATGGATTTTCCTTTCTAATTGAAATAAGATTTTTTACTCGATATTTTACCAGAATGCCTTTGATAAAGTAAGTATCATTATAAATAGGTATTTCTGATTTAAAGTGACAGACTGAAAACACATATTTGTCTCCCCTACTCCTGAGATTTTATTTAAAATGACAGGAAAAACATTTTTTAAAAGAAAAGCACAAATAGTGAGATAACTGGAGGAAAAACATCATCATATCAATTATTTCAAAGTATTTTCAAATAGGAAAAGGAGATAAAAGCCTACCGGGAAAAATCAAAGGCACTATAAATGCAAAAACTAAGGGGAAAATGTACGTGAATTAAACAAGAAACTGTAGGTTTAAGTTAAGAGTTAAGTGAACCCAATCTAGGATATTAGCGCTGCAACAAGACCAGGAATCAATTAGACAAATTAGAAAAGAAAGTGACTGGGCTAAAAGAATAATTTTTAAAAGAATAGAAATAATTGCCCAAAAAAGTGTTAAGAAAAGTTAACTATAAGATATTGGCACTAAATAGTGAAAAGGGGGTTCTGGCTTGTAACTATAATCTCTTCTATTTAATCTTCATGAAGAGGTAAGTATCTTACATGACATAATATTAAATCAAGTCAAAGAAAGAAAAATAAGACCAAGTCCCTCATAATGAGGCTAAGGCAATTAAAAAAAAAAAAGGTACTACTGGTAGACTTCCAATACATCCCTGGGTGTCTTAGCAGCAGAGTTTGGAGTTTTACTCCCTGACAATCTTCTGGAAACAGCCACTTAAAAGATCATTGTATTCTTTTTCCCCCAGCTCTATTGAGGCATAATTGATAAATACAAATTGTATCTATTTAAGATGTACAACTTAGGGTTTTGGTAGACACAGACTTTGTGAAATAATCACTATAATCAAGATAATTAACATATCCATCACCTCATATGGTTACTATTTGTATGTGTGTGTGGTGAAAACACTTAAAGTCTACCTTCTTAGCAAATTTCAAGTAAATGATACAGTTATTATTAAGTATAGTCCCCATGCTGTACATGAGACCTCCAGAACTATTCATCTTGCATAACTGAAAGTTTGTGTCTTTTGACCAACATCTCCCCATTTCCCCCTCCTTTAACAGATGTGTGAGCTGGAGTTAGAACTGACATTTGCTTGTGCAAACAGAGGTAATGATAACATTTTAGATAGGATTGAGATTCTAGGCAAGGCATAAGGGCTCACCCCTGCAATCCTAGAACTTTGGGAGGCTGAGGAGGGAGGATCACTTGAACCCAGGAGTTTGAGAACAGTCTGGGCAACATGGCGAAACCCTGTCTTTACAAAAAATACAAAAAATTAGCCAGGCATGGTGGTGCACAAAAAATACAACAAGTTAGCTAGGAGTTGTGGTGCATGCCCATATTCCCAGCTACTTGGGAGGCTGATGTGGGAGAATCACTTGAGCCCAGGAGGTTGAGGCGGCAAAGAGCCATGATTGTGCCACTGCACTCCAGCCTGGGCAACAGAGTGAAACCCTGCCTCAAATAAGAATATATGTATATGAGATATATGAGATACATATTTGAGAATATGAGATATATATATATATTTGAAAATATATATGAGAATATATATGTGTGTGTATATATATATATTTTATATATATATATATATTCTCCTTACTAAAGTACTTTGACTCTGCCCTAATGCTAGCAAACAAAGTAAACTTTAAAGCCCTAAGATTAACTCGATTTAGTTTGGCTGAGCTACTCCTATATTAACATAAAGAAGAAAGTATGTGCTGGTCTCAGATATTAACATGAAGAAAAAAGTATATGCTATCATTTGGATATACAGTCTACAGCCTAGTTCCACTTCAATATTACCTGGACTGCAAAGTCCAGTTTGGAGCTATGGAAAGAGACAAAGGGAAGCAGAACTGGAGAAAATATTACTGAAGATAGGGCTGACCTTTATGCTCAGCCAGCAAGGAATGAGCAATTTTCCAAACAAACAATCACATGAGTCTGAACAACAGATAGTTTTAGGTGGCATAAAGCTTGACTTCAAAATGACTCATTCCTTCTTCTCCCTGCTAGAGCCTGAAAACATTAAAACAGAACATTAGACAAGGTTCTTGGATAACTGGGACTCCACTGAAGATTAAACACTACACAATGAATTCAAGAATCCAGTCTCTTATCTGTCTCTTATAATAGCTCCACAGGAACAGAGATGAGATGAAAGATCCAACACGGATAGAAATGAACAAAAAAAGAACTAAATTTACACACTTTTATTAACAGCCCATTTAAAATTCTATTTCAAAGAAATAAGAAAATATGATATGAAAGGAGACAATGGAATATTACAAGACAACACTGTGATGGTGATAAACTGTACTTCTTTTTCTGGCAGCCAGCGCTTGCGCAGTTTTTACTTTGCTCTTTCTGTATGACTTGGTAAATGTCCAGTGTGCAGAGGTTATGAGCATTTCACTAAGTGAAGGTGATGCATCTTCAGGTCTAACAGCCTTTCTCCACGTAGGACGATGCATGAGAACTGGTCACACCATGCTCTTGACAAAAACTGCTTCATCGATCTGTTTTAATGCCAGGCTCCTTGCTACCTATGAATTCCATCATCAGGCAGTATTTGTAAGAAATATGGCTGCTGACATACTTAAAGTGAACCAACTGCATGTTGCTACTGTTATAATATCTTCCCCTGTTTAATACATTCTTTATCATAGGGATGCTAGATTTATCTATCAAAATACACTTGTCCTGTCAAGTCAATAACTCTCCTACAAAAACAAACAAACAAAACAAACAAACAAACAAAAAACTTATTTTTTTTTACAGTGGCATTCATGTCCTTCTACTATTTTGTTTCAACTAAACTTTCCAACCTTATTTCCTTATTCCTTATTTCCTTATTCATGAATGCTAAGATACAACTAAACTAACCTACTTCCTAATACCCAAATGCATCATGTATATGATCACCTCTCCATCAACTGTTTCTTAGTCTATAATGCTTCCAACGATGCATTTTCTTTCTTTCAAAAGGGCTTTCTATGGATATCTCTTTTCTCAGTCCTTTCCCTAAGCAAGAACTAATGGCTTTTTACTTCCTTTTCCTTTCATATGTTGTTTGCACTTTTACATAGCATTTGAAATTTTACGTTAACACAGCCTTTAGCTTTTTAATGAGATACTTTTCTAATAGTGGGAAATGTGTACCACACTGATCAAAACACAAGTGGAGTGATTACTTTTCTACTTTGGTATCTTAGTATGAAAAATTATAACAAGAATATCATAGTCTGGGTCGTTTAAACAACATTTGTTTATCACAGATATGGGGGCTGGAAAGTCAAAGATCAGGGTGCAGGCATGGCCAGGTTCTGGTGAGGGTCTCCTTCTTGATTTCCTCATGTGGAAGAGACAGAGAAAGATAAAGCAAACTTTCTTGTGTGTCTCTCCTTACAAGAGCACTAATCTTACCATGAGGGCTCCACCTTTATGACCCAATTACTTTCCAATGACCCCACTGGGGATTAGAGTTTCTGCCTATGAATTTGGGGGTAGGGCAAACACAAACATTCAGTCCCTAGCATTGACGATAAACTGACAAAATGTTGCGAGTTTAGAAGGTGAATAATACACTATTTTAAAACTACGTCATGAAGAGAAAGGGATAGAGAAACAGGTCACAAACATTTGGAGAAAAAAATATAAAAATGAATAATATCAGATAGCTTCCAGTGTTCAAAGAAACAGGCGCCTGTCTTTGAAAAATTGTTTCATACAAGACACTGCATTTAGTAGAGTGGCATTAATCCTGTGTTCAAGATTTTAGCTAAATTTAGGAAAGACTTTTGTTGCCAAACTCAGAGATGAAAAGAGCTGCTGTGTGAAGTAGTACACTAGCATGCTCTGAATGTGCATAAACAAAAGCTGCATGACCTTGTTTGGTTTGTTTGTTTGTTTTTTAGAGACAAGTTCTCACTATGCTGCCCAGGCTGGTCTCGGACTTTTGGGCTCAAGCAATCCGCTTGCCTCGGCCTCCCAAACTGCTGGGATTACAGGCATGAGCCACCGTGCCTGGAAGTTATGTGTACACAAGATGTTCAGCGATTTCTAAGTTTCCTTCAAATGCTAAAATTCTAAGATTCTAGACATGTTTGCACTAAACTTTTCATACAGGATCTAATATAGCATGTGCTTATCTGCTAAAACTGATTAGATCTGTATAGCATAGCCAACAGTTCAACACAGAATGCCAAGAAATAGAATCCCTATTAAATGAGAACAATCACATTCAGATGCTCTCCGATATTTTAATACTCAGTTTTTCACTCATGTGCACTTAATTATTGGTCTAGAAAGTCTAAATGAAAAATAATTTGTCCAACTGTGAATTTGTAACCCTTAAACCTTTAAAGTATACAAAGTTGCTTATGATTTACCAACATTTGATCAGATTTTAGAAGAAAATAAATGTTATTACTAAAAATTCATGTAAGATATTGTGCTATTAATGTACTTCTCTGTAAATGCACAGTACATTAATATAATAAACACAATTTATCATCAGATACAGAGCAAATGCAAATATAAACCTTCTCAAGCAAATCCTTTCCACAAGAGATTTTAACATGCATAACAACTTATTTAATTTTTTTTCAAAGAATCTCTTTAAGCAGCATTCTAAATTAAGTCCCAAACTGTTGTCTTGCCAAGACTCCTGGTTTATTTCACTTAAGTTAAGCCTGATGAGCTCCAGGTACACATAGTATTGCAGAGCCCTTACTTCTAGTCTATGCAGAAGAAACAAGATGAGAAAACCAGTGGACCAGAGAGAATGACTGTGAGAGAGATCATGCTTTCAGAAGACAGTTGTAATCACCATGCACAGGAGAGACTGAACAGGGGCAGGCTAAAGGCAAGGCAATGTCCTCATGTTCTGAGGTAACCAAGGTGAGATGAAACAGATTTAAATGAGGATGGAAGAAAAATGTGAATGGGAGAGGACGTAGACAAAACTATCTCCCCCTTCCTTTGAATTATCGCTTGGCCTGCACTAATGTGGACTTTTAGCATCTCTGGGCTGGTTTGCTACGAAAGTCTCTAAACTTCTTACTCCTTGAACTTTTCTCTTTAAAATTATCCCATTTTATGAGTATTTATAGGGTGAAAGTATAAACAAATGAATGGTGTCACATTAATTTTTCTATTGTCCATTTTTCATGATTTGTTCCTCTACTCAAGATGTCACTGATTCTCCATTCTTCATAAAATAGAGTTTAAATTCAAAGTGCATCACATTTTGACCCTTATCTAACAGATGACTTCTTTACTTTATCTTGCTTGCCTTCCTTTGATCAACTCTTCACATCAGACAGCCTAGACTCATTACGATACCCATAATGCAATATATGCATTTTCGCCTCTGTACCTTAGCTCATGCTGTTTCCCTACGTACATCTCTCCACATACCCCAAGAAAATCCTGTAAAACTTATTTTGCCATTTGTTGAATTGATTTTAATAACATAAGAATATAACTAACAGACAAGAACAATGCATATTGTTTAAAAGTGTGAGTGTCTTCATATGATGTAACTTTTCCCCTTTTTTGTTTTAACTTCATTCATGGCTATCTTATTCTAGATTTTCATAAAACTATTTTTAAATGGTGCTTATTGATGGCTACCAGACTGAATTCAACTTCTTTCCTTTCCCCTACCAAAAACTGATACGTACATGCCAGGTACAATATTAGCATGATATTTGGGATTTTATATGAATCTGATAACTTCATAAAATATGCTTTTCAAAAGATGTCTGATATTTTTCTCTAAGGCATATTTACATTTTCACTAACTCTGCTTCCTCAGGTCTTGCTATAAATTTCCTTTGTGGCCCCAAATGTGACCCATCACAGCTATATGTATCCACAATGCATAATTTTCCTAAGATGAGCAGCTGCAACTGCCTGATTCTATTAATTTGCTCATCAAAGTATGCTAATATTATTTTTGAAATAGAGACTAACCTTTTTAACATAATGCATTGTATATTTATTTGCAAAATAATTTGCTTTACTTTTTACCATATATCATGTCTCTTTGAAATAAAGATTTTAGAGTGAAAATATTATGTTCCAAATAGCAAAATATGTAAAATGCAGAAAATAAAAAAGAAAATTTCACCATAGTCCTATTAGTATCATATAAGCATTGTGTCCATTCCAATGCCTTTTCTTCTTTGAATGTATTATTTACATCAAAGTGACAATATTTTACATTTGTTTATATTGCACATATTCCACTTAATATTATGCATAATCATTGTTCATATTTTTACACTTTGCAAATATTACTCTTAACATGGAAAGATCATCCTTCATAGAAATCTGTCTCACTCTATTTCCTTACTATATGCCTACTATGTGGGTCACAATTTTCAGCATTAAAATTATCAATATATTTATAAATTTATAATAAATATCATAAATAGTGCTATGTGTTTTAAGTGGCATTTCCTAGGTAACAGATGCCAAGACTAGTATTTGCTTACAGAAATTTTATCAGGGAGTGATCTCAGGAGCAAAACTCATAAGAAAGAGAAAGAAACTAGGCAGAGGGAGACATTCAACTATGATGCAGTTACAACAGAGGAAACTCCACAGAAAGCTCTGGAGTTGAGGTGGTCTCTCAGAATTGTCCATGATGGAGGAAATGGGTAAAGTATTTGTACTTGTGCATTGAACCTATCACATTATGTTTACTTATGTTCCCTGGGGACATAAAGTCTGGCAAAGTAGCTCCCTTTAAGCAAGGGCAATTCTTGGAGAAGGACTCAGCTTGAGCTATCAGCAGCGAACATTCCTGGCACCTGGGAGTATAACTGCCTTGGTCCTAAGGAAGGGAATCTAGGCAGCACACCGCACTATCCATTACAGTTCACCCTTTATACCACTCAGATTCACTTGCTTCATATATGTTCATATTATCTTGTGGAGAGGAACTTAAAACAGGATAGTGAGACAAATCACAGCTCTCACAGATGCTGCTGGTCTCAAAGCACTTCCTTCTTACAATGCATTTTTCCCAACCAATGACAATGAGCCAAGAACTGGGCTATGGATTCAGTCCACCAACTGTGAATCAGATCACAGCTAAAACTCCATTTATTCATTTTTTTGCACCTATTCACTCCCACTCTAATGTGGGGGGTAAGGCGTGCTTAATAACGGCTTTCCAGGTCCCCGGATATTGATGTCAGCTTAATTCCTGTGTCCAACAGACCTTTAAATAGCTGGGCAACCCCCTTATTCTCGTGTTTAGTTACCCAGGTGAATGACTGTAAATCTCTTTGAAAACAACGGATGAAGTAATTTTATACCCTTGGTATTGCAGGGTCTTTCTTCATGGGGATCTATATTCTTCTTCAGTTCATGGATTTGGAGTCTGAGAACTGGCTCAGGTGAAGAAAGTAGGCATGGTATCCTAGGCGTATATTGGGATAGCTGCCCTCATCCTTTGAATTTCTTTTGGTTGACTATTTTAATACCTTTATTGTCTTCCCATTTATATTTCTCCTAGGAACACATGGCTTAATAATTATATCCAAAGCTTCCTGAGTACTAGGCGTCCCCTATGCTGCCATTCCAAGTGTGACAACTCATTACAGTAATTGCACCCAACATACTTCTGATGTTAAAATGCCACAACTTGGCCAGTATTATTTCCAAATCTTATTATCGCCATTTTTCAAGAAAGTATTTCTCTAATACATTAGATATCTTTCTCATAGTCCTTTTGATGACTACTTATCCTGAATCTTTCAAATGCCTGAGATATTGAACCCTCCAGGGTATGGCCTCTGAAGAGAATCCTACCCTATTTCATGTCAGGTGGAAGTTTTAATAATCAAAATTCTACCATATGCCTTTAGTCCACCCAGAGCCAATGGCATGACCCTCCTTGCTGCCACCTGGTGAGTTAGCTGAATTGAGTGTTTTTGTTACCATTGAGGGTCTCTTCATGTAGTTGAGAACAGTGAGGAGATATGTGTATATTAATCATGTATATACAAATCTCTTCATGTGGTTTCAGTAGAAAATATTTGTGACATTCCCAAAAGTGAAAATCTCAAGTTTTGTGTCCTAGGAATAA
Organism: Homo sapiens; assembly: GCF_000001405.40. NCBI lineage: Eukaryota > Metazoa > Chordata > Mammalia > Primates > Hominidae > Homo > Homo sapiens. Next base: position 123,024,305 of record NC_000006.12, on the reverse strand, counting down.
ACCAGTGATTTCCATTTGTTGTAAAGAGCTAATACCTATGATAATCGTTTTTAATCATTTTCTTACAACATGGAAGGCCAGAGGCAGTGGCCATAAACTTCTAAGGGAAAAACTACCTATGACTGCCTATGGTTTTTTAAAAAGAACATTATTTTCAGAAAATGGGGATGGTATATGTTCTTCATATCAAACTTCTGTTGGTGAGTTTTGTATGATGTGCCAGGTTTGGCTGATTAATTACATTATATAAAAAACATATTTCAGCCTGAAGGGTTCATCTTCTTGTTACATAAGTTTACTTACATTCTCTTCTTGAGCATAGGACAAAAAAGAAATGAATGACCAAGGCTGATTTTAACCTTATAGGACTGGGTACCATGCCAATTTCTTTCATGTATGTCAATTCATATAATCATCACAATACCAGGTAGAGGCATTAGCCCTATTTTTGATGTGATAAAAAGACTTCCATCAGTTAAGTATTCTATCCAAAATTAAAATCTGGACATGATACGGGCAAGATTTAAGCCCAGGAATGCTTGATTCTAAAGTCTAACCTATCCTAGCTGTTGTCAAGAGAAGAGAAAACTGTGATTGGACTATATCCTATGTAATTGTTCTCCAAAATCTCTTTATGAAGAAGGCAGATAATCAAAATGTGATTTTCCTAGATGCTTTCTTGGATGAGAAAAAGTAAATCTCTTTCTTCCTTATGTGGCCTCATGATAAAACTCAAATCACAGTACATCAATTCTCTATTATTGTATATAACTTAAGAATGTTTTGTGCTTGTAAATTAGGTTATAAATAACCTTATGGGAAGCCTCCAAGGGAAAAGAAAAGGGAGGGGATAATTCTATTCTTAATACCAACACAGAAGCTTCCAGTAAATAATTCCACCAACTCTAAAAACAAGAGCTGAATAATGAAAAACAAGCACTCCTGTAGGGAGAAGCTTGGCAACTCAAACACATAAACTGTGAGATTCAGGGACAATGCAGGAAAACCCTACTTCTGCAGCAGCCTCAAGTTATTCTAAGAGAGAGACCTTCTTTAAAGGCCTTGATGGCTAGAGAGAAACAGAACTGCAGAGAAAAGGACACACCACAGCAACTGAGTTCCAGAGAGCTCTCCATGGTGCTGCTGAAGTCAATCTAGGCTTCCTCTGATGGTTCCTAAACGATGTTTAAGTTACTTTTACTCTTTTTGAGTTAAGGTACTTCCTAGTTCTAAATATCTATAAAACTGGAACACAGTTTCCTGTTATTTACATAAGAGTGTTTTCACTTCCCTTTCCCTAACTAAATTATGTCTCCACATTTAGCATTTAATAGGACCTGCTTTGATGTTTATCATCCACCTTATGTTAAGACACCATGCCTCAGTTATCATTAAATGTAGTTTGTTGTCCAGTCCTGCAGAAACCCATCATTGTTCTATGTGAGGCAGAATGTGCTTTCTCTTAGTCATCTTAAGAGAAATAATGGGCTGACCAGATGTATCTCCCTGAGGTCTTTTGAAATCAAGTGATAAAGTTGCCAATCTGCTTGCATCACTATCCAGCTACAAATAAGCATGGTTTTCTAAGCTTAAGAGTCTTAGTTCAAGGCTGGTTGCATTTATTTGCCAAGAATTATAAGTACATCCATTAGAATTTTGATTTTGGAAATAAATTTCTTCCATATTTTACCCTGGGGGGGGAAAAAGACCTCTCTGGGGATCCAGATCGAAGAGTATCATCTTTATCATCATCATTATCATCACCATACAACAATTACCATATAGAAAAAGAATAATTTATCTCCTACCACCATTATGCTAAGGTAAAAATGGTGGCTACTGACCTTCATTTTTATCATCTTGTAATCATAAACTAATCACTGGCTTTAAGGCATTAAGGAGCTTCCAAGTCAACATGGCAGACTGAATAAGCACACTTTCCTTACCTCCCTCCACAAGTTTAAATGACAGCAGACAGTACAAACTATGGTGAATTTTCAACACTACTAGAAACCAAATGAGGCAGACTAACATTAGTAAATCAGACAGTTTGATAAAATTTTAGAAGATAAAATGTACATGTGGCTCTAACTTCTGCTTCCGTAAAGATGGGATGGTAATAATTTTCCCCATTCCTCCCATTAAGTATAACTAAAATGCCTAAACATTATATATAAAATAAACGTAAGAATACTCTGAAAGGTAAGGAGAATAAGGCATACCAGCTAGGGGCCTTGATACCCAAAGAATGACACGGTGATAAGCTTCCTCAGTTTGATTTTGCCTCATAGATCCCAAATTTAAAGCTAAAGAAACTGGAAAATCCTATGGGCACACAAAGACTAAAAGCCATAAGAAAAGCTTGTTCTCACTAACCAAAGAACCAGGAAAGATACATACTAGCAACAATTTTAGGTAATAACTGTACTATTCTAGCCAAATATCAGGAAAAAAAAATATGGCCTCATCCTCACCCATACCAGCAAAGGCTGAGAGGGGAGCCTAGAGTTACACCCTCACCAAGCTGTAATAAGGCATCTCATCCCCATCTGAGTGATGCCAGAGAAGGCTGCGTAGGCAACCAGGTCCTTCATTCCTGCTGTACCAATGCCAATTTCCTGATTGTGATATTATACAATCATTTTAGAAGATGTTACCATTGGGAAAGACATATATGGGATCTCTTTGCATTATTACTTACAACTGCATATAAACCTATAATACAATGGTCTCAAAATAAAAATAAAACATTTATCATATATATGTAATTACAAAACAGAAATGTTATTATATACAGAGGACTAAGAACACAAATACAAAATCCATGCTATAGAAACACCAAAAAAAATCAGAGGAAAAAATAATAATTTTTTTTTAACTGAAGCATGTATTAAGTGTCTGGTGGACACATAAAAAGATCCCCTCCCGGTTGCGTGCTTAAATGCCAAACATAACAAAAAAGGTAATAAAATCTTTTACAGAGAGATTTCAGCTACCTACAAAGTAATAAGAACTTGTTTGAAGCCAAGGTTCTCATCAGAAATAATGGATGGCTAACAACTATAAGATAATAATTTCAAAGTTCTCATCAGAAATAATGGATGCCTAACAACTATAAGGTAATAATTTCAGAGTACTAAGAAAAAAATTATTTTGAAGTCATATTTGTATATCTAGTAAAACTGTCAAACAGATGTGAAAACAAAATAAACACATTTTAGAGAATGCAAATATTCTGCAATTTTACCCCCCCCATACTCTTTCAGATAAGTGAACAATGACAAAAGCCCTTAAGATTGAGTCTAACGAAACAAAAGAAAGAGAGAGAAAAGAGTTCTAAGATTTGCAGCAATGAAATTCGAGCAAGAGCTAAGATGACACAAAGGTGAAATTTTTTAAATTTCTAGGATGACAGCTCTAATATAGGACTAATAAAAAGAGGGAAAAATTATAACATAAAGAGCTTCTAGAATATTCCCAAGAGGAAAGTTGATTATTTGAAGTATATAATATAATTGATAGACTAAGTAATGATAATGTAATTTTAAATTTTATTTATTAATTTCTATACTGATTAAAATTGTATTGACTTCTGCATGTTTTCAGTATGTGGCTAAACAGTAAGTAAACCTCCAACCAGTTTGTAAAGTACTTGATAAATCTTGATAATATGGTGAATCCTATTGACATGCTGAAGCTTAACAGTGATTCTATTCTCTAAGTCCACACATACAACAAGACTTTATCGTGAAACTCTCTCAGTATTGTAGCAGCTAGTATTCATTTCTGAAAGTTTCTTGTTAGGCCACCTCATTTTTAAAAATGTCTTATTCTCATTGTATGACAACTGAATCCCAAATTTGGATGATTTCTAACTTCAAGGCAAAGCAACAGCTATATTGCTACAGTTTGACCATCCCAAATCTGAAAATTCAAAATCTGAAGTGCTCCAATATTCAAAACTTTTTGAGCACTGATATGGCATTCAAAGGAAATGATTGTTGAAACATTTCAGATCTTGGGTTTTAAGATCTGGGATACTCTACTGGTAAGTATAATGCAAACTCTGAGAAATACAGAAATCCAAAGTATTTCTGATCCCAAGTATTTTGGATAAAGGAATATTCAACCTATGTAGCTATTGTGATAATTTATTGTATCAATTTGACTAGACCAAGGGGTGCTCAGGTGTTTGGTTAAACATTATTCTGGGTGTCTGTGAGGGTGTTTGGGATAGGGTTAACATTTGAATGGATAGACTGAGTAAAGCAGACTGCCCTCCCCAGTGGGGAGAGGCTTCATCCAATCTGTCAAAAGTCTGAATAGAAAAAAAAAAGGCAGAGTAAGAGTCTCACTCTAATTATCTGTCTTTGAGCTGGAACACTGATCATCTCCTGCCTTTGAACTTGAACTTGGAATATAACTTATACCATAGGCTCTTTTGGTTCTCAGACCTTTGGACTTGAACTGGACCTATACCATCAGCCCTGCAAGGTCTCAAGCTTGGTGAGTGCATATTCTGGGACTTCTCAGCCTCCATAACTGCATAAGCCAACGTCTTATATAATAAATCGCCTTATATATTTGTTCTATTTCTTTGGAGAACCCAGACTAATGCAGCTGTCCTGGAGAGAGTCTTCAGAATTTACAGGAATAATTTACCTTTTTTTTCTTTTTAAATTCAGGATGTTTGGAAATACTCATCACAGGAGCCAGGGAAATTTGTGGAGAGTAGAATTGATAGAATCACAGGTGTATTGCATTTGTTATAGAGATATAGCTATACTGATACAAAAAAATAGAAATCGCCTGCCCCTTAACCTATGCAAAGCTAGTCAGGTACAGAGAACAGTCAGTACATAGAATGAATTGTAGGGATGATATATTTATTCCTTTGTACTTGAATGTAGGAATTAAAGTTCCTCGAAACACTGCCTGATTATCAACTCTTCCTTTCACAGAACATAAGCAAAACACCCCTTACAGTGCCAACTGAAGAATCATCAAAATTATTTTAGAGGGTCATCATTGTGAAAGAGAGTACAGGTGCCCACCCATTCCTCCTCGTCCTAAGACCAAGTTATATTCAATTTTTCAGCCTCCCCTGTCATGATTGTCCGTTGTCTGAGTTCTAGCCAGTGGAATGCAAAAGGCAATGATGTGCAACACATCCAGATCTGACCCATAGGAATCTATTGCATGTGATTCTCCCTGCTTTTTACCCTACAGGGAAAAGGAATAAAATTGAGCAAAGTGGCCTTGGAAACCATATGGAGAAGACAGCAGCGCAAGAAGGTGGAAGGAATACGGGCCACTGAATCAAAAGGAGCAGCACCATCACTTAGACTTCATGTGAGAGATGGTTGAGTCAATGTACACATTTTGGTTTGTTTGTTACAGCAGCTTTCATTAAATTAAGTAATGACCTTATACTCATCCATGTTTTAAAACTCAAATTGAAGACTTTCAAAATGTAGTTGACTTTAGGTCATAGAAACACACTGTTATTAATTGCACATCAAATGGTATCCCAGGATGAAACCAAAGAGGCATTTCTCTTGTGAGTTTACTGTGGCTTCTCCAAATGCAGAAGAGAAGAAAATCAAGCCCACTTTTTTTTAAAAAAAAAAAAAAAAAGCTATTCAGAACATAAAGAAAAAAGAGTATTTTAGTTTTCAGAACAATCTTAAGAGAATAGAACAAGAGTATTATTCATGGATAAGAGAGAATCACTCACTTCTAAGATTCTGGCAATATAGTACCAGAATTTTTAAATATAAGAAAACAAAACTAACCCTTTAAATTGATACTTGAAAGATTTTAATTAAGTGTTCATGAGATAAAATTTATAAAAATGAAATGAATAGACATTTAAAAGACAAGCATGTCAATTTCATCAGTATCTACAGAAAAAACCGATGCCATTGAGTCCTAGTGTTCTAAAAGGATAAATTGATGTTCACATTTTGGAGTTTTGATCTGAAGAGAGAAAAAAACGAGGTTTTGCTGGGAAAGAAGAACACATCAAGATGCATTTACATTGCTGCTGAAAAGAATAAGAGAGGGCCTGCATTCACTCATCTTTTTTGTTCTCTAGTTCAGGACATGTCTAAACATAGCCAATAAAATGAAATCCAGAGTAGTTCATATGCTTTGTTCAGTTTTTCATTATAGATAATTACTTTTTATCCATTTGTCATTAGCTCAATGACTCAGACCAAAAAGTGTTATTTTCTTCTTTCCTTTGTGTTACTTCAATTGTTCTATTATTTGAAGCAAAATGATAACAAGTCACATTGTCAGTGGTTGAAGGTGTAGAAGTATTAAATTTTATTAATAATTAGTAATTCTCTTTAATTCAGTAAATGTTAAATAACCCTAGAGCACTCATTTCTCTATTTTACTTTTTGTCAAGGTTGACACCTGCTTCCTACAACTAGACACTTTTAACAGATTTCAAAATCAAAAGAAATGAACAGCAATTTTAACACAAGAAAAATACATCAATTATATGTACATACATAGGCATATGTACAGAATTAATCTAGTCCATTATCAAAGATTATATAATCCTTAGCCTGCTTGCTGAACTGAATATTATATATAGCTTTTACCTATTGTCAGCTTTTAAGAAAGACTTACAACGTCCTACTTCTGAGAACTAAACCTCTCAGCCAAACTACATTCTCACACCATGAAATAAAGCAACTTTAGGGTTTTCATTCATTTTGTTCTAGGTTAAGTAACAACTAAGAAGAAGCACACTTAGCTCAGTCAGCTATGCATGTGATGAACAAAATGTCACTTTTTTTACACACTACCCTTGTCACTGTTTCTCAATGTGGTAATGCCTCTGCATACAAAATGTAGAAATAAACGTTCCCATCTCCAGGCTGCCTGAATGAATACAGTTCACGAGTCTGTGTGTTTACTTTCAAAAAGATAGGCATTGCTTCAGCCCCCTCCCATCAATGTATCATAATGCTGCCTTAAGCTTAAAATGTAGCTCGTAAACAAGAGGTTTCTGCTATTGTCTAAAGCATTCTAAGCCTGAAAACTATTGGCAGCTTAACAACCACTGCAAAGAACACTGTTGTAAAACACAGACTCCTTTTGTTTTATTATGAATTCCTAATTTAGTCAATATCTCACTAAGTTCTTTTCTACACTCTCCCTTAACCATCTTACGCACACACACACACACACACACACACACATACACACATGCAATTTCAAAGCTGTTAGAAATTACAAATAGGTAGGACTTGAAGGACTGAATAAGCAAATGCTATAGTGAAGCTAAGGGAGCTCCTCACGCCCCAGCCTTGGACAGTGATGTTCCAAGTCATTAGCATGTCCTGCGTTTTTGGCAAGATTCCCTAGGTAGGACTGGGCTTCCAAACGCTTAGAGCCAGAATGTGTAGCAGCAGCACTTTTTGCCTTCCACATGAATGATCACAGCTCTCAGAGCTAGCAGATTGGTGGCCGCTGGTAACACTGGGCCCTTGAGTCAAATGAAAGGACCAGTGAATTGATTACATATTCTTTATTCTGTCACAAGTCCTACTTATTAAGGGCTCTTACACTATCTGGCACTATTTTAGGCATTTTGTGATGGCCATACATCTGAGTCTTATGTAGCAATTCAAAGAGCTATTCAATCCCTTGTTACAGCCAAACCCCTTGCCAGCAAGCCATGCCTTGACTACATTATGTACTTATTGGCAGATGGAGTCTGGGGAGTTCTGTGAAATTGTGAAGGCAAAAGCACAGAGACCCAGTAGGGCAGAGGCAAGGGAGAAAAACATAAATATGTCTCAAGGGCAGCAGGGTAGGGCTAGGATAAGCTAAAAATCATCTATAAATTGGGAGATTCTGGATTTATAAAAAAGTCCAAGTTTCTCATTAATAAAGAGTTTTAGAGACATTTTATTAAAAAAACACAGTAACCCTCCCCCTCCCCCCCAAAAAAAGCACGTAATTTTACTGTAAATTCAGAGTCTAAGAGATTGTAGGTATTTCTAAACAGTTTGTGTTTTAGTTGGCTTTCCAGGCAGATATCTTAGCCGACCAGTTACATTCACTTAATCTTGTATTGATTTTCTAAGAAACTTCCTGTTTCTATGACTACCCTAATCAGTTAACTCTTGTAAGTAGGAAGACAATTTTTTCTTTTTCTTTTCTATCAAAGCCGAATACTTTCTAATTTTTTCTTTTTCTTTTTTTCTGTTTGCCACCCTGAATACTCCCTTTCCACAAAAAAAAAAAAAAAAAAAAAAAAAAAGTCTGATGTTGTGCCTTACCTATCACGGAAATACATTTTGTTGGTAAAAATGGTTGCTGTCTTTCATATTTGAAAACATTTGAAGATTTTTGCACAGAGAAAGCATATAAACTTACCTTGGACCAATATTATGAATGGCTTATCACTTTGTTGTTATATTAATAAAAGTTATCCTTGGTGATCAGCAAAGTGGCTTCCCCTTGGCCTTCATGCTTTATCCTAGAGAACTGGGAGGCTAATAGTCACTTAAAGAGATGGCTCACTGGGAAAAGAACATGGTTCTGCCATGCGGTGTCAAAAAAGTCCAAAGCCACAGGCCAGCCATTTGTGACATCTTTAGTTAGAATTGCACTGTCTATTCCAATAAATAAATTTCACCTATATTAATATGTGAGAATTTGAGTATTGGTGGGAGAAGTTACTTTGATCTGAGCCTACCTACTGTTTCTTAGAAACAGGCCTGGAAACAATAGAAACAAGATTCATGAAAGACATTGGCCTTTGGAGTCAGACAACCAGGACTCAAGCCTTGAGGTCAGCTGAGAAAACTTGATTAAGCATCTTAAACTCCTCAAAGTTTCACTTCCTATCCTATAAAAATGAGACTATTATAATTATTTCAAAGGTGGTATGGGGTTCTCCAGATCTAACTTCTCTTTCCTTTGATCTAAGTCAGTTCATTTATCCAAAGGATGTTTCCAAATCAGAGAAGTGATTAGGATGCTTTCCTGTCCCAAACCTCCCTATATTTGGAGAGCACAAGCCACACCATATAGTATGCAGTCTTTTATGCCATAGAGCCAGGGTTCAGCCTGCCCTTCCAGCCTCATCTCTGGTTATTTTCCTCAATTCATTTCCCATTCTAGCCATGTTAATACAGATTCATCCTGTGTTTTCAGCCCCCTATAGCTGCATGTTTGTTCAGAGTACTTCCCCAATGTTGCTCTGATCAGTATGTCCTACCTGTTTTTGTCCACTTAGCAAACTTTCACTCAACTTTCAAAGCCAAGGATAGCTCCACAATCCTCACCTTTCCAGCTATGCCTAGAGCTTCTTCCAAAAGAAACACAGGTGAAATTTCACCAGGTGAAACAATCTCATTCTTTGCTTCTAACATGAAAATGTATTTTATTTGACACCCAACATAAAAATATCTAGATGCTATTTAACTACAGAAAAATTGTAGAAAAGACTGCAGTCTGTGTATCTGTATCTAAAGTCTGAGCACCAAAAGAATACTATGGTATTATTCAGATTCCCAAAGTCATTCAACTTTAATTCATCACAGTTTATGTAGTCACTGACTTGTGAGAAAGGCAGCACACATCCAGAAAAATATGGCACCTGAAAAATGAGCTGATCCACATCAATTACTTTAATCATTGATATTACCTGCCAGGTAGAAGACGTATCATTTCTAATATAATAACACTTGAAAATTGGTATAAATGAATAGACTGAGATTCAAACAAGTGCCCAAGTATTTGATGCATGGCAGGGTTGCCATCCAAATCCTGTTCTGTCTGCCTTTAGAAGCTTTTCTATTTCTACCCTCCCACATTGTCCCTTAATTGATCTTATACTATATTCATGTATGAATATATATAATAATGGTTCATGTATCTTTATACAAGGTATATGGTGCTAGCCAGGTCACTTTAAATACTCTTGCTTAAGAAAAAAAAAGTCAGGAAACAACAGGTGCTGGAGAGGATGTGGAGAAATAGGAACACTTTTACACTGTTGGTGGGACTGTAAACTAGTTCAACCATTGTAGAAGTCAGTGTGGTGATCCCTCAGGGATCTTGAACTAGAAATACCATTTGACCCAGCCATCCCATTACTGGGTATATACCCAAAGGGTTTTAAATCATGCTGCTATAAAGACACATGCACACGTATGTTTATAGCGGCAATATTCACAATAGCAAAGACTTGGAACCAACCTAAATGTCCAACAACGATAGACTGGATTAAGAAAATGTGGCACGTATACACCATGGAATACTATGCAGCCATAAAAAATGATGAGTTCATGTCCTTTGTAGGGACATGGATGAAAACTGGAAACCATTATTCTCAGCAAACTATCACAAGGATAAAAAACCAAACATTGCATGTTCTCACTCATAGGTGGGAATTGAACAATGAGAGCACATGGACACAGGAAGGGGAACATCACACACTGGAGCCTGTTGTGGGGTGGGGGGAGGAGGGAGGGATAGCATTAGGAGATATACCTAATGCTAAATGACGAGTTAATGGGTGCAGCACACCAACATGACACATGTATACATATGTAACTAACCTGCACAATGTGCACATGTACCCTAAAACTTAAAGTATAATAATAATAAAATAAAAAAATAAAATAAAATGCAAAAAAATAAGTAGGTTTATGATGTGGATTGATAGGTTACAGCCAACTCAAGAGAAAAAGAGACAAGGAGTCCTCAAAACAGAGTTACATCCCATTCATAATGCACGTAAGTTTCCTCTCTGGCTGCTAGATTGATAGCCTTTCTTATTTTTGGTTCAATCCCCTATAATTTTTTTTTATGTTTTTCTAAATAAAGGTGACATGATAGCAGAATTATGGCATAAGTTCTAATTGACTTATTTAAAATCTTCTCATTTCTTCATTTTACTGACTAACTGGAAGAGGTTTATTACTGTTGTGGTGTTGATGGTCTTGGCATGGTGGTGGCTGTGTTTAGCAACCTAAAACTGTGTATGTATCTTTACTTCAAACATTTTGTGGTCTTATTTTGATATTGAAAAAAATGTTTATTCATATTCTGAATGAAACATATAGTGGTACACAATATTTGTCACATAGCAAATGCAAAGTAAAACAGTGACTTGATTTAAAAAGTCAGAAAGTGTTACTTCAGTACGAGACTAAATATGAGATCATGCATGTCACAACGGAACATTTCTAGCAATCCTATATTCTTATTCAGAATTACCATTGTTTTTAGATATACATAGAGTAGACACAGACACAGATACAGACACAGACATAGGTATAGATGTAATTATATAGCATTAAAAAGTCAATTTGAACTTAAAATAAAAATGAGTTTAAAGGTTAGTAACACATCAAATCTATTCCCAGGAAGAGCTTTTTTCTCTTAAGTGGCGTCTTAATTGGGAATTAGGAGGAATCAACCCTTCTTACTCTGTCTTGTGTTCTGGGAAAAAGGAGAAAGGGGCTGAGATATTTTTGGGGAACAGAGAGAAGGCAGCTCCAAATGTGCAGCCATTACAGGTCCATGCAGAGAATGGGATTATTTCCTTCACTAGACATAAGCACAGAGGTTTCATCTGAGTGTAGTTCCTTGGTGTTCACAGGTAGCACTTAAAGAACTTCTGATAGTAGTTACAGCTAACAAGGAAGCTCCCAAACATCTCCAAATTGTCAGTTTGTTCTCCTGCAATGACTTATCACAGTATTATTAAAAAACTCCATAAAGTAGGTTGGAAAATAGCAAGAGTCTATTCTTGAAGTGTTTTTTTTTTAATTTCTTGGGAAAGAAAAATATGAGTTCTCCAGTCCTTCAGGAGCTGAAGGCCTAGCCTAGCTCTAGTGCAAAGAGAAGACACAGGTTAAATAGGGATAACAATTATAAAAGGCTAGGTTACCATTCTGTGTTAGGTAACACAGTGGGTGGTAACCAATCTTGTTCACAAACTGAAGAACACCATATACATTGCTGGAAAAAGGGCAGAGTTAGGACTGATTCTATATGATATACACATTTCCAAACATGCATTATCTTATGCTGTCTACCATCCTGTATTAACTGTCCCTGTGGAGGTTTTTAAAAAGCATTGTTTAAGATAAGAGAGGAGCAAGGCTGTCTCACCAAGAGCAAGTCAGGAAGCCTACATCAGGAAAAACCTATATGGAGAAGAAACATCAGTGTGTCTTATTCAGTCCAGAGGCAGAAATCGAAGATTTCCAGCACCTGGAAAAGTTGCCCACTTTTAAGAGGTCAGCAGTTATCAATTTAGGTGTGTATAGATGCAGTCAGAAATTACTAATGAGTAAAAATCTAGATGACTTGGGCTTACTCAACATTGATGCCCCAGTCTAATGAATTACATCACTCAAGGACTAACTTGTAAATATTTTTAGAAGTTTAAAATCAATTCCATAAGCATTGTACACAAAGTAGCATAAAGCAAAGAGAGAGAATAGAAGGACACCCTGGAAGTTAAAAGCAACTTGACAATAGCAGGTTTATGACAGACCACTAAATAATAATATGTTTCCCATCTTCTAATTCCCAAGTAGTTAAACATTACTCACTGGAAGAAGCACTATTCCTATATAAATTCCATGTGACAGCCCCTCCCACTCACAAAAAAACCCAATGAAGTCTAAAGAAAATTTAGAGAGATGATCTTTGCATCTTAGAGACCAAAAAACATATTGATTGACTTTCCAACAGTTGAACATATTGCTGATCATATCCCAAATTCACCAGGTTAAATGAAATAATGAAGAAAATATTTAGCTAATTAATAGGCACAGAAAAAAGAAACAAAAACAAGCCTAAATAGCTAATCATTACAATCTAAAAAATGTTGCTTGTTCTGATTTTCAGATTAAAAATCTCAGCTCATTACCTGTATTTGTTTAGACAGGGAGCACTGTACTAGTGTCACAAACTCTCTTCCTTCAGCGTTTCTTCTATAATCCTTTCTTCAGTTAGTATTTTAATGTTTGTGCTCAAAAACTACAGATTTTTTTTGTTTTTGTTATTCTGTAAGTAAGACATTTTTTCATTCTAACACATTAGACAAGAGAAGTCAAACACAAGAGACCAAGGAAGTAGGTAATTTCCATATCCTACCTGCAGGCCTTCAATAGCTAATCGCAGCATACTTGGTGTGAGTTTAGAGGCTTGCTTGAAAGTGAAGTTACTCCAGTCTATGATCAAAACAAACCCATTCACTTGAAGCTCAGGATCTTCAATCATGGCTTCTAAAGAAAGTAAGATGGCACGCAAAATATCCACCAGTGTGTACCTATCGGCGACAGAAAAGTACTAAATTAGGTCTGACAACCACTTTTCCAAAAAGCTATAAAATATTTTCTAGCACACTAAAAATTCACTTTAAAATACCTTCAGAATCTTAAGGAAATAATTTTGTTTAAAAACCTATTTTAGGAAGAGGTTTAATTTATATGTACTCCAAGAACATAATCGAATTTAACATGTATTCTGCCCAAACAAATGGAAACGCTTTTTCATATTTTATCATCATTTAGTTTACCTCCAGGCCTTCTTTTGATTTTCTAAAATCTCATTCAACTAACCCAAAACTAGGCATCACACGTTTTAAGTGGTTCAAGAATGCCTTCAGTAATATTGACATTTCATATCTTCGTATTTGAAAAAACTGAGAATGAGATTTGAGTGAGTCTCATCAATAAATGAAAACACTGTACATGACAGCTATCAATAAAAGTTACTCAATTCAAATTACTTGTATTGAGTTTGTATCATAAAGAAAAGGAAAGGTGGTAGGGATAGAAAGAGAAGGAGATAAATATAAATAAAAGTGGGAAAAGTCATGGAAATTTACCTACAATAATACAAACCATCCTAATTCAAGGGTTGGATCTTTTTTTGTTGTGTTTTGTTTTGTTTTGTTTTCTGCTTTTCACCTTAGCAGGTTAGTTCCTGAAACGTTCCAGTAACCCAATAAATGCTCTTTATATTACTGTGAAAGTGACTTGACTAGAGTAGAAAGACACTGGTTGGAGATTAAGACACTGCTTCAATGGAGGCAACGGAACTAAGAACAAAAATAAGAAGCCAAATTTGAGTGGCATTTTAGACAATCTTGTTATACTGTGACAATGTGAGGACTGAAATTAGGGAAGAGTAAAAAATGACACATATTTTAGCTTCAGAGCCTGAATACATAGTAAAATTTTTAATCAATATCAATAATGCAAAAATAGGATACTGTTGGAAATGGCTGGGAATACAAAGTTTTGAATAGAACTTATTGTATTTGAGAAACATGTAGTATACCCAGAGAGGTATATCAAGCAAGCTTCTGAAACAAATGGATCCTAAACTCAGGGGAGAGCCCAAAACTGAAAATTCTGGAATTAAAAGCTTATAGACTCTAAGTTCAATGAAGTGAAGGAGGTAATGCAGTCAGAGCTAAGAGAAATATCAGATAATTATTCTAAAAAGGGAATCCCTAGAAATCTCAGCACTTTAAGAGGAGTGAGAAATTTTATGGAAGATGTTAACAATTTCAATTTTTGTACACTTTGCATTTTAAGTTTTTTCCCCGGACACACTCAGGAGAGATTTCAGGAATAGCTAGAGAAAGAGATCTGGACCTCAGGGAAGAGGCAGGATGGGGAGGGGAGTGGATTAGGAGTCGAAATCATTCCCATTTAGTGGAAATGATGAGTTCGTTAGGAAGGCAGTATGATACAGTGAAGATATATGAGGAAGTAGGTCTATTTTTACTTCTAAAAACACTTGGATGTGCTAGGAGAAAGCATAGTAGTTCAGAAAGGAAAGAATAATTAACATTAGCACTTCAGGCAATTTCTTACCATTTCAGGACCTCATTTCTTCACCTGTAAAATCAGCAGTTTGGAACAGAATCTTGTTTAGAATCCTAGCATTAATCAAGCACAGGGCATGGTGTCAGAAGACTTCAAGATGCAATCTCTGCCCAGCACCTCATTAGCCATATGGTCCTGGATATGTCGCTGATTTATAATTCTGAGGATCAGTTAACTGTCCCTATCTCATGCTATTCTCATTATCTCATTGGCCATGTTTGGGGGAGGACTGAGGGCAGCACCAGAGAGTCATCAAAGAGATGACTCAGGTGAAAACATTTGTGCAATTTTGCACAGTTCTCGGTATAAACAGGTGTTCAGTAAATGTTGGTTGGAATACACACATAGCATACTTTTTGTTAGAATGATAAGCACAGATATAGTTTACTAGGCAGAGTATAAATCAGAAATGATAATCTTTAGGATAGGCTATTAGTATTATAAAAGGCAAAAGTCAAAAGGCCTAGGGATACAGCATCCAAAAAACTATCTGAATATATAAAATAATAAAACTTTTTATAGAGCTCTGCTATGTATTTGTTATTAAATCTCTGAAACATGTGTGGGTGAACACCTTTAAAAGTCCCTTTATGGCTGGCCTACCTCCATTTTAAACATAATGGCCTGACACACTGTCAGGACCTGAAACCTATAAACACAGGCATTGGAAGGTTGGAGCAGGAAGACTGTATTTCTGGTTGAAATTCAGACCCCCACCAAAAAAAAAAAGTTTTAATTTCTGAAATTCATAATAATATCACGGTGAAGAAAATCAAGGATTCAAAAAGTCTAACTTCAAAGGTTTCCCTCATTATGAGGTTGACCATTCTTATGTTATCCATAAGAAATCAAATAGCATTAATACCAAAATGGCATTAAATAAAATTTAAATTTGAAATCAGCTTTGGAAGGATGATACATTGTATGTAGTAAAAATTAATCAAGGTACCAGTAAGGACTGAAAACAAGAGGCAATGTGTTTTAAATAACACACTTGAAGTATGGTTCTCCTAAACTGTTTCAAAATCAAGATAAACGTTGATACACATATCATTATTCCAAAGGAAATAATATAAGGCAAATCCCAAAATCAGCAATGAAGAAAAGTAGGTTTGCAAAATTATCAAGAGTAAGTCTAACCACCTTTTTTGAATTCAATATCTGGCTCCAAGAAGAGAATCAAATGATTTTTATAAAAATTACATTAATTTAGAAGTTTAGAAAAAGAAACATAAAAATACACTAGCTAACTCCATTCAATGGGCAGGTCAAAACCACTCTTAACTCCACTCCTCTGTTGTCAAACATCTCACATTATTACCATTAGCAGCTCAGCAGGCTATTCCTCAGCAGAACAGTACTACACAGGATCTTGCCAGAATCTGTAAAATATCTTCCAAAGAAATGTAGCATCTATGAATTTTATCTCTTCAGGACTCCTGCCATACTCTCCTTTTTAAAATTATTTTAACTGTTATAATTTACAAATTAGAGGTCACTACAATGAAATACTCTACTTGTTCATGTTTGGGGTTTACACTGAAATTGTGTGAGTTCCACTATTGTTATTCTTCTCTTGTATGCTGAAAGAAAGCTATAAATCAAAACTAGCACATAATTGCAGCTCTTGACTCCTGATTGTGCTTCTCAAAATAGCATTAAGTAAAATTTGAATTTGTGAAAAGAATGCTGTGTAGCATGCAGTAAGAAGAAATCATGACACCAATAAGAAATTTTACAACTGACACCAGACTATGTAGAATACTGCTCTTGAAAAGAATAAAAGCTGCTAGAACACATAAAAAACATATGGAGCAGACTTTAATACCCATAGCAACTATGTACTACCTGTGCAATCAGAAGGAAAACATCTAATACCTCTTGAAATTTTTCAGTTATGAAATCAGTCTTCCTTGCACAGTAGGATATATATTCATGAATTAATTATTTGGGGCATGTTTATGTAACTTAAAAGCCTTTTTTAAAGTAAAACTCACAGCTATTAACAAATACAAAATAAAATGGGGATCCTTGATTATTTGCCTAATCGCAGCTTAGTCTCATACACCTTGAAGTTACTGAACTTTTCTAAGTCTCCCTTTTCTCTTTTAAAAATGATGATAATAATAGTTACCTCATAGGACAGAATGTAAACTACTTAGCCCAATGGGTAGCACATAGCAAACAATAAATGTTAACTTCTATGACTTCTACAATTGTATGACTTTTGCTTTTTCAACAATCACATATTCTATACTTGCTTTTTGTACTTTTTAACCACTTAATCTTAACTTCATAGAATTATTGTGAGGACAAAATGAAACAAAATAATATATGTAAAGTTTTTAACAGTACTTGACATATAATAGAAACCATAAATATTTTCTGCGATTATTGCTGTTGAAACTCTTCTATTTGGTTCTGTGACGCTGCATTGAACTTTTTTTCCTTCCACTTTTCTGGTCAGTCTATTATCTTTCATCTTTGGTTCCCTGCTGCGATCATCCAAATGTAGAAATAAGACTTTGTTCCCCTGCTGTCATCATATAGTATCTCCTGGAGTTACCAAATCATGCACTCATCCCCTTGGCCAATACATTGGTGACGGCTCGATATCCACAGAGCTAGTGTCAGTCCTGTGCAACATCCTCATCTTTCTAGTTGCCATCTGAACATCAGCACCTTAGTGACTCCTTGCTACCTGACATATATTAGTGTAACTCAATTTAGTGTCTCCCATTTTCCTCTGGGATTGCGTACATTAATCAATTAATGAAGAATCATTCTCAAATATTCCCTTTCCTTCTCCCTCTACATTTATTCACCAAGTCCTAAATTTTTTTGTCTTTTATATATTTATACATCTTTGGCATCTAACTCTTTCTACTAGAGTCCTAGCTTTATTTCCTAATATAATGGCACTTGTGTCTCTTTTTCTTTCTCTCCCATCTTTCTCTTCCAGAAATCTTGCCTACCCTCTATTGTGAGATAAATTGTCCTAAAACATTAATTGGCCTGAAAAATTGTCCTGCACACAACACCACTCCCCCATGGCTCTTTCAAAACTGCACCATTCCCTTAATAACCATACTTCTTGTTTTGTACACCCATGCATAGGCTCACCCCAGCTGTCAAGGTCATATTCAACCCCCAACAAGCTGGTACACTCCGATGCTTTATGTTCACTTAAATCTAGGGGAACATTCCCCTTCCTTTTCACCTCACCTAAGTTCTGCCCTCCTCTGGGCCCGCCACCAGCTTTCCCTGCTCTGCAAGATTGTCTTGACCTGCTGGAGACCTCAGCGCCCTCTCTCTCATATTCTGAAATTATAGTGCTTCAGTGTTTGTTCTATGGCCCCAGACATATAAGCTTAGCTTAAAAACTCTTTCACTGTTTGATACCACTTTCTATCTTCAGCACCAAATACTGTTCGCTGCACACTGTGGGTGCACAATAATATATGTTAAAATCAAACTATTTCCCAAGGGCATAGACCATGCTGCTTTATTTTACCTATATCTACATTTACAGTCATCAAAGTGCCATAATGGCATCATTTAAATATAACATTCACTTAAGGCTTCCCTGTCAGCCCAATACAAAACATGCTCCTGGACCAGAAAGAGGACAAGAGCCTTGTCCTGCCACACTGTGGAGGGGTGGCACCCTGCCTGCAATCAGGAGCCCCCTCAATTTTTTAGATCAGAGAAGCTTCTTCTCCTGCCTCTGGCCATGCAATTTTTTTGGTGACTACCTGACCCATGCTTCTTTGCTGGGGTTCTCAGCATCTCCTCCTCTACCATAGCTTTCAGTCAGTGCAAAGATCAACTTAATGACAAATAGGTCATATCCCTCTACTTTTCAACCTTTTCAGCATGACAAGAAAAAACTAGCATCTTGGCATCGCACTGAGCAGCATAACACCAGCAATTTCTCTTTGTCACTAAATCAATCAGCCATTATTAAATTCTTTATTTAGGCTTCCCCCACCCCTCAGTTTTCATTAAGCCACATTTTCTAATGTCTGAAGCACTTCATAGTAGAAGGTGCTAGGGGGAGGGGAAAAAAGGAGAAAAATTACCTTTATTAATGCCTCAGGGTATTATTAGTGGTAAAGCTGATGAAGCCTTCTAGGTGTTTTATATTACTGAGTGGTAATAATAATAATATGTCTATCTGGGTAATAGTTTAAGATTTCCAAAGCAATTTCAAATGCATTATCTTAATCTCAAAACAATTGCAAAATCTCTGAGCTGGATTTGTTCTTATTATTTTACAGATGAGGACAGAGGGTCTCAGAGAAAATTAAACAGTTTGCTTTAAATCACCTTAGGAAAAAAGGGGAACCTAGATTCAAAGCCAAATCTTTCTGATACCACATAGACCAGTGCTCTTTCCCTCTCCATGGTGCCTCCTACTCAGAACAGAGTTTGATGAATAGATAATTGGTTTTTTTTTTTTTTGTTTTTTGTTTTTGTTTTTGTTTTTGTTTTTGTTTTGGAGATGGAGTTTTGCTCTTGTCGCCCAGGCTGGAGTGCAATGGCACGATCTCAGCTGACTGAAACCTCCACCTCCTGGGTTCAAGTGATTCTCTTGCCTCGGCCTCCCAAGTAGCTGGGATTACAGGCGCCCGCCACCAGGCCTGGCTAATTTTTGTAATTTTAGTAGAGACGGGGTTTCACCATGTTGGCCAGGCTGGTATCCAACTCCTGACCTCAGGTGATCTACACGCCTTGGCCTCCCAAAGTGCTGGCATTACAGGCGTGAGCCACCGTGCCTGGCCTGGTCTGCTTTTTCATGGTAGCATAATATATATGTCAGAAAATAGGAGATCAGGAAGTCAATATCCTGGCACTCTCCAGCCTCACCACAATAGGGAGCTTTGGTGGAGGAAAAGCAATAAGACATCCTTAGGACTCAGAATAAGAAATGGCTAAATCTACAATCCCTGGAATAAATATGAACTCTTGAAATTTCATCTGTCTGGCTTGTATTACTGAGCACAGAAGATTAGATGTCTGAGCCTTGCTTTAATTTTACTGCTGTGGGAATGTAGGTGAGTGAGAACAAGAGAATCGTTGGAAATGAAACATCTGCGGGCAAAATGTCTTTCTCTGAAGAAGACGGGTAAAGAAAAAACTTTTGCATCTATTGCCACCAAAAAATAAAACAAAATAAAACAGAATTGTGCTGGGAGAATACAAACACATCAGAAAGCAATTATTTTTATCAGGGCCAAGTACTCTAAGCAAACATCTAGTTAACTAAAGTCTTTGACTTCAGAAAGTTTATTCTTCCATCTTAACGTTCTGTTCCTAATTGCCTGTTTTGTTATATTTAATCGAGATTTTCTAAACCATAGATGGAATTATCTTTAATTATCAGAATTTGATTTTTTTTATACATTTGCCTTTCCCTAGATTTAGGTTGGTAACTGTCTACACACACACACACAAAAAGCGACTAATTCACTTACCAGTTGTATGATCATGAGTGAAGTACTTAATTGCTACAATACACACAGTAGAATTATTTTGAAATGAATAATGAATAAAATGGAACAATAAATGTTGAATTCAGTTAACCAAGCAGGCAATGTCTTTCCTACACAACACTGAGTAGCCCACAGCTGCCCACCTGTCCCCAGCTTCTAGCACTGGTAAACAGTGTCCTCATTAGCTGCATATGACCTCTGATAGTTACTCAGCTTTACATGTTTTTTCTTCCCAGAGAGGTTACATATTGCTTAAAAGTACAAAGTATGTGTCTTTATTTGCCCCCAGTACCTACTAAAATGCTATGTACATAACAAATTCTCAAAGTGTATTTTTTTCAATTAATTTGACCAAAATATTAATCACTCAGTTTGTCATATGGTATCATAACGATCCCACATACAGGAGTATCCTTTCCTTCATGTTACGATAATAGTGTAATAGCCACTTACTATAATAGTGAAATAGATGTACCTGCCCTCAGTAAAGTAAGAGAATTTAACATTTCCCACAGAAAGGAGGAGATGTATTAATTTACTAAGGATAACTTCTTAATATACTAACTATTGGCTCATGTTTTAAAATATCTTTAAACATTTCTTTTGAGGCATCCTTTCAGGACACCGTAGTAACCTCAAGTCCTTTGCTTCTCGACCTTCTTTAAAGTTGATTTTGAAACATGAAAATAGCTTGGCTCAGGCCAGCCTTAGTCAACGTCCTACTGAAGGTTGGCACTTGTAGTTTTTGCTGTTATTTCGGGATTATTTTACTAATTATTGCATAATTGCCCCAGTTTTTGGAGATTGTCCTATTTTTGCAGAGATTCATCACCATATTCCTCCAACATTTCTCAGGACAACTTTTTTTCCTCCCCTATTTGCCATGATATGTACCAAGATTATAGTTTGGAATAAGTTGCAGTTAGCAGAGGATTTGTTAAAAGAGTTTCCCTGAAAGGAAGCAAGATGGAAGCTCTGCTGGGAGAGAAGTCCCATGGAATACATATCTGCCATTTGTGGTTTTGCCCTAACCAGTATCCACCCAAAAGATGGCAAAGCCATGCCTCCAGAATTTTTACGAAAAGGACTCCTAGACTCCAGACTCTGCCAGTAGGTATGACAATGTGAAGCAAAAAGCTGGGAATTATTTAATATGTTAATAAACTGAGAAAAGAATTCTTGAAAAATTAAGCTGAAAAATTAAACTTCTTATTTTTTTGCTTTTTTTGTTGCAGAGTAAAAATATTTCTCCATAATTATCTGGATAATTGCCCTGGACTGTTTTAATCTATTCCTGTTCATTTTATTTTATTTTATTTTATTTTATTTTATTATTTTTAGTACAATTCCAGAGATGAGTAAAGCTTTGTGATTGGCATTAATGCCCATCTGTGTAGTCTATGGCTATGTTTTAAATTGTAAGTTATCATCACCATAACCTTCTATTCTGAACATTGGCCATATTATTTTAGTAAATGCAAGCATAATCATAATTCAAACTGAACCACAAATAGCAACCATTCATACAATGTTTGCTTTTGAATGAAAAAGCCACACAATAGGAGCAAACTGACAAGTTTTTTGGGCAAATTCCAGGATAAGTTAGAGTATCATATCAATGTCTGACCAATCAGTTTTCTGCCCCTTCCAGAGCTTCGCTACTGTAAGTGGTAATCAATGTCCACTATGATAAGCCAAAGACCATGCAAGGTGGCCAGTGCTTTCTGGATTGCCACCATATTAAGAATCATTTTGGTTCTAACTGTGTTTGTTTTCGAATGGCCATTAACTAGATTCCAGATAAATGGTTGTTTGCTATACTAAAGTTCAGAGAATTACTGAGAATTACTGTTTCTAATGACTATTAACCATATTCCAGATAAATGGTTGTTTGCTGTACTAAAGTATAGTGAAGTACATACTTCTAATGAGATCTAGAGAAATAAAATATGACTTGCAGGCTGACAACTTACAGGTGAACTCTGACACTTCCTATCATCATTATGTTTCAGGTGACACAATTTCACTCATGAATATCTCCAACAATTATGTGACAGTGGATTTCAACTTCCTAGATACATGCTTGCATGCTCTAGGACCTAGAATGCCATGTACTTTCTTTCCAAGCTTCCTTTTCTCCAGCAGTGTTAACCTCTGCTAGCTTTACGGCACATTATCCTCACACCTGTTGATAAGATCCTGCGAACCATTTGAAGGTATTTGCTGAGTCCTAAGCAGGTCACTACCATTTAGGAAGGAAAACAATATGCAATACATGGAGGACGAAGGCATCTTTGTGATGCAGTGTAACAGTCAAATAGTTTTTAATTCCATGGCATTTACTTTTGTTGTCAGAAATTATGTAAGGCAATCTAAAAGGAGATAAAATTATATGAATCTTTTCCAAGGTACAGCTCAATAAATGTAACAGGTCATCTGGGCTTGCCCTATTGTTTTTTGGAAGAACCACAGGCCACACTGCAACTCATTTTGACATTTGAGTATTTCCATTTTTTTTTAGATTTGTTAGAAGGTGGGTACACTGTAAATATTAGGATTTTATGTTAGTCTTCTTAATGATGCCATGTCTCTCAAAAAGGCTTTGGAAATCATCCAATTCTTTACAATAACCTAAAAGTAAACTACACTAAATTGCAGCAGAAACAGACACTATTTTATTTATAGTCACTGTCTCACACGGTTTTACTGTTTTCAGTGTCCTGAAGAGCACAGAAAACTGTCCTACAAATTTCATATAGGAGAAAGCGTATATCAAATAAATCTCTACTCAGAATTCTTTTTATACAAATGCATAACTCAATTCAACTCAAATATTTATTGAGCATCTACTCTAGTTCAAGTGCCGTACTAAATATAATAACATGACAGTCTTTTTGTTAGATCAATTCTATTGGGGGTCTTTACGAATTGTTTCAAAATTCATAAAATCTTGTTTTTCCTTTTGTAGTTGGAAAATTATAAATAACCTGTTTTCCAAATAAACTGAGGCATTTTCTTCCGCCTCATTTCTAGAATTTATCTATGTAATCATCTACACTTCTCACACACTGTTTCTTTAAAACAGGCTACTTTTTAAGAAAGTTGTTGAAAGCCAGGTGCTTCACTTAACAACTCAAAGAATGTTGCCAGGATTATTTTCAGACATGCAGTCTTCTGGAGAAATCCAGGTAGCTTTGGATTGGTGGGATCAGGGCCTGGAAGGTGAGAACATCTCACTCACAGAACAGGGGAGGGATGAGGGATAAGAGAAACTAGCACATGGCATTATCCACCTAACAGAGCAATAATAGTAACTTAAACACCTAGGGAAAGAGGCAGACTTCTGTAGGAGTCAAGGAGCCTTCGGGGTAGAGGAAAGGGACTCAGGCTAAGAAGTGTTGGTAACATCCTGGCATTGGCAGAAAGGCAGCTGTCCTTTGAGTTTCAGAGCAGGAGCCAAGGACGTTTTTATGCACATGCTCCAGTGATAAAGGTTTATAGAGGGTGCAAAGGTGACAGATCTGTTTGTCTACTAGTCCCTGTCATTGGGTTATGTAGATTTAGGATAAAAGGAAGGTGGGAAAGAAGAGGGAATTATTATTTTTTTAATATAGGAAGAAATTCAACTGAAATTTTGACTAAGCTCTAAATCACTTGTATACCTTTTCACCTTGAGGTGCGATAATTTCTTGATTATACCTGTTTATTTCCAACCATAGAAATAGAATTCATAATTACAAGTCTAGACATCTTGACAGGAAATTTCTACAGAACACAGCTTCTCATTTTGTTCTAATACACATTTTAGTATTTAAGATTATGTGTAAGTTTAATGAAATGTAATTCTATATACCAATTATTAACTCCGTTTCCATTATAGATTTCTAGGGAAAGAGAATTTGATTACTAGTTGTCTGCCCTTTATATGGAAGCATGAGATAGACAACTAAAACACAGTGTCTCTAATAAATTCAGAATTATCACTTTCTCATATATATGAAAACTATAAGTGACTTTCATCTTAATTAGGTTTACAAATAATTATGAATATTAGTTCACTTATAGAAATTCATGAAAATAGGTCTGATATATATGTATGCCTCTCTGAATGCAATCTGCCCCCATAATGGTATCTCTAACAGACTTCGAGATTTATATAAATATAAAATTTCCAGGTTCCATTTCACTATAGCTCAATTAACAAAGTTCCAATCTGACATACAGAATATTAGTTTTTTCCTTGAATAAAATTTTTCAGTTCTGTTATACACAGTCATTGATTTGCATGATCCTACAATGTACTTTTAGGATGAAAAGAAAACATTTTTAAACAAAAATTGTGGTCAATGAATAAAAAGTTGTAATTCTTTAAAATTTTCAGCTACCTGATAAAAAGTGGAATAACATCTCTATAACTGGCCAAAGTAAGTAACAAAACTCCATTCCCTCTGAATGGCTAACTCTGTATGAGTTTCTTAGCATTATGAATCTTCAGGTAGTAGTTTGTCTTTCTATTTGCCTAAAAAAATTGGAGTGATTGTCAACCTAGAATTACAGGGAAAAAAATCACAATAAAATGAGAGAAAAAATAATTAAAAATATTAATTTACATTCTAAGATACCAAGACTCGGAAGCCTATCTGGAAATCTCTATGATCCATAAGCCCTCTTGGTAACTGTAAATGTCTTGTACGATGGCTCCAGAGATGATTTAAACTAACCAGATGCATTGAAAGTCACCATTCACAGAACTAAAAATACACCAATGTTTTAACAAGCAGCTTCTTATGATTCATAGCTCTGGTAGCATTTTAAGTCCCATGAAATATATTTAACTTTGAACTTAATTGAAACTACCTTGCACAAGAGCCTTTTATAATTTCTTATATCTTTCAGTCTGAGAAAACAGTTCTGAAGGAGGACAGAGAAGTGTCATTGCCTGCATTTTTCTATAATAATGTAGATAAAAAGAATATTATTTCTTCTCTATTAAGTAGCACATGAGCTCAAAAAGTCCACCAACTGACACATCTGAATATTTTCCACTTCCTTCCAAAAGATGAAAAATCACATGAGACAGGAGACAGATTCTTTAGATTAGTGGCAGGTGTAGGACACATACACCAGTCAGTGTACATTTTCAGTGTCAGCAGGCATGCTCAGCGACAGAGGATGCAACTCTTCCTTTCACTGAAGGGACACAAATCATATTATTCCTTCTTCTACACATCACCAAACAGAGAACTTCCCAAGCAACAAAACTACTTGCTTTTGGTCGAACGCCAGGCTATGCTTAAAAGATAAAACGTCAGTACCAAAGAGAGGATGATGATGATGATGATGACAATGATGATGGGTCTAGTTTAAGAATTTTTTTAGGAAGAAGGAGGAAAAGTTGTCCCCATTTTCTTACTGGTTTATCCAGCCCAATAAACTTTTTCAGAAGGTGAAACATACAGAGAAGCTTTATTTACAAGTTAAGTGATTTAGATCTCTGTGCAATAACGTGGTTAAGGTAGCACCTTAAAGCTGCAGTAGAAAGTGGGTGTTAGTGAAGTAAGTTTTAAAAGTAAAAATACAAGCCCTCCTCCCTTCCCAGGGTGCCCACCAAAAACTCATCTCCTGGTTTGTTTCTCTTTTCTCCAAGCCAAATAAACAAAAATATCAAATCTACAAAACCATGACACTACTCGGGGTAAATTCTGGAAAATGGGAGAGTAAAAGGAGAATACAAGTTTGGATTTAGGATTTACCTGCTCTGATCCCAATTGGCAGCAAAAAGGACTAGAATCTTCCTGCCATAGTGGTCCAGATTGGCCAGGCCCCCAGGGAAGCCATCCTTCAGTGCCTGCTTGATGCCAGGGTCGGTGGCCTTAAAGCTTTTGAACATGTCCAGGTTCTGCTGCCGGTACTCAAAGTACTGCGCCAGGAGGCGGAAGGCCTCAAAGTGATGAAACTTCCTAGCCCGCAAGAAGCGTAAGATGAAGGCATCATCCGTGCGCAGAAAGCCAATGTCCGGCCTGGTGATGACCATATCCCTCACCTCCTGGATGTCCTGGTGCAGCGTGTCTGGGTTTTCATTGAGCTCCAGGCGAGCTTTCTCCAGGGTCTCAGGGGAGAGACCGGCTTGCAAATGAGTCATTGTTCTGCCTATCTCTGAGCTTTCCCTCAGAAGACCTTGTTGACTGTCCCAAAGCAAACCTGGTCCTTGCCACCACCAGACTCCAGCCCCCAGACCTCCTGCTGCCTGCTTCCTCTCCCCTACAGGAAATTAATAATCTTGGTGTCCAATCAAGTGCCCTGTTGCTCCTGCTTTCCCCCAGCAAAGCTGGGGGGGCCGGGGGGTGTAAACTTCTTCCTCTGCCCCCTAAAATACAACACCCTACTTTGGCTCCCTCTTTCCTTTCCTTTAAAGAGATGTGAACCCCTGAAGGGCTCCGCACTCCTCTTCTTGTCCTTTCTCTTTCCTAACAAATCACCCCTAATTCCACCTAGCACGGGTGTTTCTGATCTTGGTACTGTCCTCTTCTCTTCTCTTCCAAGATGTAACAAAAACAACCCCCACGCACATCTCAGCCCCTGCACTGTGAATGTTCCTGCGGTCCCTGCTGAAGGATACGCCTGCCAGGGGTGGCGATGGAAATTCTGATTAATAATAAGGTAGCTCTTCAGCGCTGAGCTCCAGGGCGGAGAGAGATCATCTTTGCCAGAAAGAAAAAGAGACAGAGAGAAAGAGGGGGGAGAAAGGAGATTATTTCTCCCTGTACTTATTCAAAGACGCTATTTTTAAAAGACAAATTTGTGTGATTTATTTAAGATTATTGTGATCCAATTAGGTGAAGACTCTGCAGATAGCGCACCTTCCCACCACCCCTCTGAGATACACCGTGATCTCATAAGGCACCAGCAGGGGTTCTGGTGGCGTTGGTACCAGCGTGGGCTCCCCCAACCCCACCCCCAACTTCTGCCTTCCTCTAGCCCTTCATTTCCACGGACTTGCCGCGGGGTTGGAGAAAAGGGGGGAGGGGGAGGGAGGGGACCGGGGATATCTCTGGGAATGCACATTTCAAAAACGAAGAGAAGGGGAGGACGTTGTGAAGAATAAAATAAAAATGTCCTTATCTTTTCTATAAAACCCCAAAGCAAGAAAGAAGAAAGAGCAGCCGCTCCTACCAGCAAACCCAGAGGCGGGGTCGCTAAGCAATGCGGCACTCCCTGGCATCCATCAGCCGCGGCTTCAGCAGCGGCGGCGGCGGCGACAGCGGCATCAACTCCTCTGGGCGGGATGGAAGGAGCAGAGAAGAGGGGTGGCGGCGGGGACCCGGGCCGAAGATGCGCTCGGGAGCAGCCGCGGCCACATCGTCCGCGGGCAGCCCGCAGCCTCTCCTAGCAGGAGGGGTGAGGATCGCAGGGCTAGGGCCACCGCTGTCCCAGGTTCTCGCCTGGCCCTGCCATTTTCGCCTTCGGGAGAGAAGGTGGGGAGGAGGACGCGAACGCCTGGATGGAGAAGGCCACTCGGGCGGCCACCGCCTTTGTGAGCCCTCCGGGAGCAGCCGGGGAGGTGGGCGCAGCGGGGCGGCTGCTGCGCGGCGCTGGCCTCTCCTGGGGCTCTCCCGAGCGGTCCGAGTCAGGGTTGCCCCACCGGGCTGCGGCGGCGGCTCCGGCTGCTGCTGCTGAAAGAGGACTCGGCTCAGCCCAACTCCTCTCTAATTATCCCAGCACAGATCTCGCTGCGACGTAAGCACTCACTCAGCTCGCGCGCGCGCTCCGCTCCTTTCCCTGCCTCGTTGGGGTAGGACGGCAATTTGGGTGGCATCGAAATATCCCGAGCCCTAAGTTTAGGCTGCTCTTCGTCCCCACTCCTCAGCAGGCTGCTGAGCGGGCGTCGCCGGGCCAGGCGGGGCAACCATGCTTTCCAGCCTCCCCACGCCCCTCTCTTCGCCCTTTGTGTGCAAGACCCCAGATCAGCCTGGAGAGTAGCTGTTGTAGACGGTAATTCACATTGACACGCATTTTCTCGTTCCTGTAGGAGGCAATTTTGATGTAGAAGGAGTACGGAAACATTCTGTACTTTTCGCATTTGTTGTAGACAGAGATATTTAATTTAGAAAACACCAGAGTGGTTCCAAGACAATGTACTGATGATTAAGCCTCCGGAGGAACTTATATGAATAGTTTTTCAACCAGTCTCCCTGCTAAATTTCTGTTGAAGAGGATGAAAATGAGCACTAGGGTAAATGATAATAAAAACATAATTCTCAAAGGAAGAAAAAAATAGGAACTTCACTCATATCTCATCATAAAGCAAATATTTCTGGAAACACATACCATCCTTCCTTCAGTTGTATGCATCTGTATATGAGAATCATTATAAATAAACAGAAGTCCTTGCGCTTAATATGACTATCTATGGATTTGAGGAAAAGGGATATTTTCTATTTTCAAAACACAGCACATATTACTGAGCGTGTTACTAAGAGCAACTTTTGACTTTATAAACTGTAGAATGGGGTCTTGAATTGAAGTTAATTCAATGCAACTAATATTTACTGAGTTCCACGAGGTGTGGGGCATTTTTCTGCATTCTGTGTATAGGAGGTGGTCTTGAAGATAAGCAAATTTTGTCATTTTCTTATCTTGACATTTCTTATCTTGTCATTTTCAATGTTGATGACTATGAGAACCCTCAAAATACAGGCACACTTGTTTTTGCTCTTCTCATGGCGATGGTGTTGATAAAAAGAAAGAAGGAAAAGGGTTGTATGGTAGAGCTAGAGCATTTATTAATTAAATTAATGCAAATTAATGTAGGAACCCGAATAAGACAATAAATTACACACACACACACACACACACACACAGTCATTATTGTCAAGGAATTTATGTTTTAAATGGGGAAGGCAGAAAATAAACCACTTAAGTGTGTGTATATGTGTGTTATATATATGCACTATATATAAGGTCCTTCTAGGATTTTAAGTGATTATGACTTTCTCAAGCATGCTGAATGCAATGTGAACTGTTAAATTTTTGGTTCTCATTTTAAAACATTTGAAAAAATCATTTTTTCTAATATTTTAGAGGTTGAAGAAAATTTATGTTTCGTATCAACTGTATGAAGAAGTTTTAGTCATCACCAACATGGAGAGACAATTCTCCCTGGATCCGTTGTGTTTCTACCTGTCTTATGACCAAGGCACTAATTGCCCTTTTTTCTAGACTGTCTTCTCAAGGGTATTTGTACAGTAAATAGTCTTGGAAGATATTGGAAGATAGAGATAGTACCTCCATCTGAAACAAAGCCTTGAAAGCTGTGATATCTCTCTCCTGACCAAAAGGTAGGCAAGCTTATTTGAATTCCCTAAACTCAGAGCTATTCTGCTGTAATGCCACCCATTGTTTATGCCAGTATCACTTGATCCTCTTTTCTTAGCTATCTGTGGGAATTAGAGCTCAGGGGACCAGTCAATGCAAGATATGCAGATGCTCATACTGCCCGCTATGCCTGAGTGACAAAATCCTTTATCTCGAAGCCAAGAGTTTTGCATCTTCCATCGGCATCCATGAAACTACAGCCAGCTAACTTGTTAGCCTGTAAGTGAAGTTAAAATTCAGATCTTTCACCTTGATGAAAAAACAGTTGTTTAATTTTGTTCTCTGAGATGGACATATTAGACTATATTTTTAAGGGAATTTATAAAATAAAATGTATTTTTTGGCCCAGCATATGTTATGACCAGTATTGAAGGTTGAAGGATGACATTTTTATTATTTATTATTTACCAATAACAGAATTGCTTCAAATAGATTTATTTTAACATATCTACATATGATAGAAATAGTCTCTATCACCCAGTAGGATTGTTGGAGCAGGTCAGTTAGGTATATATAAGATTTTTAAATCATATTTACAAAACTTTAGTGATTATACTGTTATTCTCTCTCTACTTATACATTTGAACTCAGTTCTGAAACCAAAATGAATACACGAAGCCATCTAAAATTAAACAAGGTGTTTATTCAGATGACATCAGAGCATTTGATTTTCATTCAATATTAATCTACCTTGCCAAATTAATGCAAAGTAATGTAGGAACTGGAATATGAGAATAAATTATCTAAACAAAAGTATTAATTAAAGCATTATTGGAAAAATAATTAAATCAAGGACTTCAGGTGTTTTCAAGTAACTAGAAAGAAAAGTTTGGTTTACTGCTATATTTAAAATGAGTAGAGTAAGTACTTTATGTTTTAAAACATTTTATTCCCTTTATTGTTAAATAAAATATATGCACAAAAAGGAGCACAAAATAAAGATGTACGGCTCAATTCTATCTTACAAGGGAAACACACATGTAAGTGTCCAACCAGGTTAAGAAACCAAGCATTGTCAGTAGCCAGAAAGCCCCCTCCCATTCCCCTCCTAACTACTGGCCTCTTTCCAACAAAGGAAGCCACACTGTCTTTATTTTAAAAGTAATCCTTGTTTGTTTTTTTTAAATTTTACCAACTAAATAACTACAATTTTGTTTTTCTGTTTCTGAACTTAAATGTAATCATTTATATGTAATGTTATGATTGACCTCTTTCATTCAATATTAAATTTGTGTGATTTGTCTTTGTCAGTGTTGTTGTATGTAGCAGCTCCCTCATATTCAGTAATGGTGCATAAAATTGCATTTCTTTTTTTCCTGAGACGGAGTCTCCCTCTGTCACCCAGGCTGGAGTGCAATGGGGTGATCCTGGCTCACTGCAACCTGCGCCTCCCAGGTTCAAGTGATTCTCCTGCCTCAGCCTCCTGAGTAGCTGGAATTACAGGCACACGCCACCACTCCTGGCTAATTTTTGTATTTTTCGTAGAGACAGGGTTTAACCATGTTGGTTAGGCTAGTTATGAACTCCTGACTTCATGATCTTCCAGCCTCGGCCTCCCAAAGTGCTGGGATTACAGGCATGAGCCACCGCACCCAGCCGTAGAATTTCATTTTTATACACCTACTACAATATGTGTGTCATTCTACTGTGGAGGGAAATTTGGGTTGTTTTCAGTTTGGAGCTCTTATGAACCATGATGTATGAAGATTCTGGCACATGTCTTTTGGTGCACATGGAGAGACCTAGGAATGAAAATTTCTGGGTCATATGTAATGTGCATCTCCAAATTTAGTAAATAATGCCAAACTGTTTTCCAAATGGTTGTTTCACCAACCCCCAGCAATATATGAGTGTTCTTACTGTGCCATGTTCTCAGAAATCTTATTATTGTCTATAATTTTAACTTTATCCATTCTGATTTTGAACAAGGGTATTGTATTATGGTTTTGGTATGCTTTCCCATCACTACTAATGAGGTTAAACTTTCACGTTTTTTGGGCCATTTGTACATTATTTGTGTGAAGTGTCATTTCAGAGATTTTGCTGATGTTTATAGTGGGGTGTTGATTGCTTTAATATTGAATTGTAGAGCTTCTTTATAGATTCTGAATATAAACCCTTTGTCAGCTGCACATGTTGTGAATATCTTCTCCATGTCCATGGCTTGTTTCTTTCACTCTCTTAGCCCTGTCTCTTAATCAACATAATTTTAAATTTTTAGGTAATTCAGTTTTTCTCCTATGAATAGTGCTTTTTAGGTCCTGCTTAGAATATCCCATAATTACTCAGATATTTATTCTCCAGTTTACTGTCTAGAAATTTTATTGTTGTTGCCTTTCACATTTAGACTTGCAATTCACCAGATTGTATTTTGCTCATAATGTGAGAAATAGGTCAAGTAATTTTTTTCTATGTGAATAACCTGTTTACTCAGTACCATTTACGGAGACTATCAAAAAGATCATCTTTTTTTCCCTACTAGACAGCGCAACTGTTGTCACACAAAAATAATTTTTCACATGCGAGTAGATTGTGATTTAATGTAAATTTTAAACTCCACCTTTTTTTATACAACCAATATTCCTCAGTGGTTCCCAAAATGTGGGTCCCAGACCAGCAGCATTAGAATTACCTGAGAACTTGTTAGAAATGTAAACTCCCATGCCTGACATATTGAATCAGAAATCCTCCCTAAAATTCAGAGACTCACAAAGTTTTCTGCTCAGTCCTTTGAATGATTCTAATTTACACTGAAATTTGAGAATCAATGCTTTAGATTTAACCCCATATGTATCCTTTTTACTCTTCTTTATTCCTTCCCGTATCTCTGAGTTTCCATATAGTAGTGATTTGTTTGTTTTTTCACTTGAACACATTATAATGTGTCCTTTAGTACAGATCTGAGGGTTGTAAATTATTTGTTTTATTTGTCTGAAAGTTATTTTACTTTTACTCTAAAAACATATTTGTAAGCTATAGGATTCTAAATTAGCAGCTGTTTCCTTTCAATACTTTAAATATTTTTTTTCTTTTTCTCTGGCTTGTCTTATTTCTGTAGTCAAGTTAACTCAATTTTTTCATTATTCCTTTGAAAGTAATCTCTTATTTGTCTCTGCCTGATTTTATTTTCTCTTCTCATCTTTAATTTTCAGCATATTTCTGATGAGCTTTTTTTCATGTTTTTTGGCCACATAAATGTCTTCTTTTGAGAAGTGGCTGTTGATATCCTGTGCCCACTTTTTCATGGGGTTGTTTTTTCCTTATAAATTTGTTTAAGTTCCTTGTAGATTCTGGATATTAGCCCTTTGTCAGATGGATAGACTGCAAAAATTTTCTCCCATTCTGTAGGTTGCCTGTTCACTCTGATGATAGTTTCTTTTGCTGTGCAGAAGCTCTTTAGTTTAATTAGATCTCACTTGTCAATTTTGGCTTTTGTTGCCATTGCTTTTGGTGTTTTAGTCATGAAGTCTTTGCCCATTCCTATGTCTGTAGATGTGTGGTGTTATTTCTGAGGGCTCTGTTCTGTTCCATTGATCTGTATATCTGTTTTGGTACTGGTATCATGCTGTTTTGGTTACTGTAGCCTTGTAGTATAGTTTGAAGTCAGGTAGCATGATGCCTCCAGCTTTGTTCTTTTTGCTTAGGATTGTCTTGGTTATATGGGCTCTTTTTTGGTTCCCCATGAAATTTAAAGTAGTTTTTGTAATTCTGTGAAGAAAGTCAATGATAGCTTGATGGGGATAGCATTGAATCTATAAATTACTTTGGGAAATATGGTCGTTTTCACGGTATTGATTATTCCTATCCATGAGCATAAAATGTTTTTTCATTTGTTTGTGTCCTCTCTTATTTCCTTGATCTGTGGTTTGTAGTTCTCCTTGAAGAGGTCCTTCACATCCCTTGTAAGTTGTATTTCTAGTTATTTTATTCTCTTTGGAGCAATTGTGAATGGGAGTTCACTCATGATTTGGCTCTCTGTCTATTTTGGTGTATAGGTACTCTTGTGATTTTTTGCACATTGATTTTGTATCCTGAGACTTTGCTGAAGTTGCTTATCAGCCTAAGGAGATTTTAGACTGAGACGCTGGGGTTTTCTAAATATACAATTATGTCATCTGCAAACAGAGACAATTTGACTTCCTCCCTTCCTATTTGAGTGTCCTTTACTTCTTTTTCTTGCCTAATTGCCCTGGCCAGAACTTCCAATAGTATGTTGAATAGGAGTGGTAAGAGAGAGCATCCTTGTCTTGTGCCAGTTTTCAAAGGGAATGCTTCCAGCTTTTGCCCATTCAATATATTGGCTGTGGGTTTGTCAAAAATAGCTGTTATTATTTTGAGATACATTCCGTCAATACCTAGTTTATTGAGAGTTTTTAGCATGAAGCGGTGTTGAACTTTATCGAAGGCCTTTTCTGCATCTATTGAGATAATCATGTGTTTTTTGTCATTGGTTCTGTTTATGTGATGGATTACATTTATTGATTTGTGTATGTTGAACCAGCCTTGCATCCCAGGGATGAAGCCAACTTGATCATGGTGAATAAGCTTTTTGATGTGCTGCTGGATTCGATTTGTCAGTATTTTAATGAGGATTTTTTCATTGACGTTCTTCAGGGATATTTCCCTGAAGTTTTCTTTTTGTTGTTGTTGTTGTGTCTCTGCCAGGTTTTGGTATCAGGATGATGCGGCCTCATAAAATGAGACAGGGAGGAGTCCCTCTTTTTCTATTGTTTGGAACAGTTTCAGAAGGAACGGTACCAGCTCCTCTTTGTAACTCTGGTAGAATTCGGCTTGAACCCATCTGGTCCTGGGCTTTTTTTGTTTGGTAGGATATTAATTACTGCCTCAATTTCAGAACCGATTATTGGTCTATTCAGGGATTCAGCTTCTTCCTGGTTTAGTCTTGGGAGGCTGTATGTATCCAGGAATTTATCCATTTCTTCTAGAATTTCTAGTTTATTTGAGTAGAGGTGTTTATAGTATTCCCTGATGGTAGTTTGTACTTCTGTGGGATCAGTGGTGATCGCCCCTTTATCATTTTTTATTGTGTCTATTTGGTTCTTCTCTCTTTTCTTCTTTATTAGTATGGCTAGCAGTCTATCTGTTTTGTTAATCTTTTCAAAAAACCAGCTCCTGGATTCATTGATTTTTTAAAGGGTTTTTCGTGTCTCTGTCTCCTTCAGTTCTGCTCTGATCTTAGTTATTTCTTGTCTTCTGCTAGCTTTTCAGTTTGTTTGCTCTTGCTTCTCTAGTTCCTTTAATTGTGATGTTAGGGTGTTGACTTTAGATCTTTCCCACTTTCTCCTGTGGGCATTTAGTGCTATAAATTTCCCTCTATACTCTGCTTTAGCTGTGTCTCAGAGATTCTAGTATATTGGTTCTTTGTTCTCATTGGTTTCAAAGAACTTATTTATTTCTGCCTTAATTTTGTTATTTACCCAGTAGTCATTCAGGAGTAGGTTGTTCAGTTTCCATGTAGTTATGTGGTTTTGAGTGAGTTTCTTAATCCTGAGTACTAATTTGATTGCACTGTGGTCTGAGAGACTGTTTGTTATGATTTCTGTTCTTTTGCATTTGCTGAGGAGTGTTTCACTTCCAATTATGTGGTCAATTTTATAATAAGTGCGATGTGGTGCTGAGAAGAACGTAAGTTCTATTGATTTGGGGTGGAGAGTTCTGTAAATGTCTATTAGGTTCTCTTGGTCCAGAGCTGGGTTCAAGTCCTGAATATCCTTGTTAATTTTCTGTCTCGTTGATCTGTCTCATATTGACAGTGGGGTGTTAATGTCTCCCACTATTATTGTGTGGGAGTCTAAGTGTCTTTGTAGGTCTCTAAGAACTTGCTTTATGAATCTGAGTGCTTCTGTATTGGTTGCATATATATTTAGGATAGTTAGCTCTTCTTGTTGCATTGGTCCCATTCCCATTATGTAATGCCCTTATTTGTTTTTTTTTAATCTTTGTTGGTTTAAAGTCTATTTTATCAGAGACTATGATTGCAACCCCTGATTTTTTTTTTCTTTCCATCTGCTTGGTAAATATTCCTCCATCCCTTTATTTTGAGCCTATGTGTGTCTTTGCATGCGAGATGGGTCTCGTGAATACAGCACACCGATCAGACTTGACTCTTTATCCAATTTTCTAGTCTGTGTCTTTTAATTGGGGCATTTAGCCCACTTATATTTAAGGTTAGTATTGTTATGCGTGAATTTGATCCTGTCATTATGATGGTAGCTGGTTATTTTGCCCATTAGTTGATGTAGTTTCTTCATAGTGTCACATGGTGTTTACAATTTGGTATGTTTTTGCAGTGGCTGGTACCAGTTTTTCCTTTCCATATTTAGTGCTTCCTTCAGAAGCTCTTGTAATGCAGGCCTGGGGGTAAAAAACCTCTCAGCATTTGCTTGTCTGTAAGAGATTTTATTTCTCCTTTGCTTATGAAGCTTAGTCTGGCTGGATATGAAATTCTGGGTTGAAAATTCTTTTCTTTAAGAATGTTGAATATTGGCCCCCACTCTCTTCTGGCTTGTAGGGTTTCTGCAGAGAGATCTGCTGTTAGTCTGATGGGCTTCCCTTTGTGGATATGCCAATTTTTCTCTCTGGCTGCCCTTAACATTTTTTCTTTCATTTCAACATTGGTGAATCTGATGATTATGTGTCTTGCGGTTGCTCTTCTTGAGGAGTATCTTTGTGGTGTTCTCTATATTTCCTGACTTTGAATGTTGGCCTGTCTTGCTAGGTTGGGGAAGTTCTCCTGGATAATTTCCTGAAGAGTGTTTTCCAACTTGGTTTCGTTCTCCACGTCACTTCCAGGTACACCAATCAAACGTAGGTTTGGTCTTTTCACACAGTCCCATATTTCCTGGAGGCTTTGTTCATTCCTTTTCATTCTTTCCTCTCTAATCTTGTCTTCATGCTTTACTTCATTAAGTTGATCTTCAGTCTCTGATATCCTTTCTTCTGCTTGATCGATTTGGCTATTAATACTTGTGTATGCTTCACGAAGTTCTCGTGCTGTGTTTTTCAGCTCCATCAGGTCACTTATGTTCTTCTCTAAACTGGTTATTCTAGTTAGTAATTTCTCCAACCTTTTTTCGAGGTTCTTAGCTTACTTGCATTGGGTTAGAATATGCTCCTTTAGTTTGGAGGAGTTTGTTATTACCCACTTTCTGAAACCTACTTTTGTCCATTCGTCAAACTCATTCTCTGTCTAGTTTTGTTCTTACTGGCAAGGAGTAGTGATCCTTTGGAGGAGAAGAGGCATTCTGGTAGTTTGAATTTTCAGCCTTTTTTTGCGCTGGTTTTTCCTCATCTCTGTCAATTTATCTACCTTTCATCTTTGACGCTGGTAACCTTCGGATGGGGTTTTTGGTGATGTTCAGATCCTTTTTGTTGATGTTGATGCTATTTCTTTCTGTCTGTTAGTTTTCCTTCTAGCAGTCAGGCCCCTCTGCTGCAGGTCTGCTGGAGTTTGCTGGAGGTCCACTCCAGACACTGTTTACCTCGGTATCACCAGTGGAGGCTGCAGAACAGCAAAGACTGATGCCTGTTCCTTCCTCTGGAAGCTTCGTCCCAGAGAGGCACCCGCCGGATGCCAGCTGGAGCTTTCCTACATGAGGTGTCTGTCGACCTCAGCTGGGAGGTGTCTCCCAGTCAGAAGACACAGGAGTTAGGGACCGACTTGAGGAGGCAGTCTGTCCCTTAGCAGAGCTCGAGCACTGTGCTGGGAGATCTGCTGCTCTCTTCAGAGCTGGGAGGCAGGAACTTTAAGTCTGCTGAAGCTGCACCCACAGCTGCCCCTTCCCCCAGGTGCTCTGTCCAAGGGAGATGGGAGTTTTATCTATATGCCCCTGATTGGGGCTGCTGCCTTTCTTTCAGAGATGCCCTGCCCAGAGAGGAAGAATCTAGAGAGGCAGTCTGGCTACAGCAGCTTTGCTGAGTTGCGGTGGGCTCCACCCAGTTCGAACTTCCTGGGGGCTTTGTTTATGCTCTGAAGGGAAAACTGCCTACTCAAGCCTCAGTAATGGTGGATGCCACTCCCTGCACCAAGCTCAAGTGTCCCAGGTAGACTTCAGACTGCTGTCCTGGCAGTGAGAATTTCAACCCAGTGGATATTCGCTTGCTGGGCTTTGTGGGGGTGGGATCCACTGAGCTAGACCACTTGGCTCCCTGGCTTCAGCCCCCTTTCCAGTGGAGTAAACAGTTGTGTCTCACTGGCATTCCAGGTGCCACTGGGATATGAAAAAACAAACAAACAAATGAAACTTCTGCAGCTAGCTTGGTTACTGCCCAAAGGGCCACTCAGTTTTGTGCTTGAAACCCAAGGCCCTGGCGGTGTAGGAATCCGAGGGAATCTCCTGGTCTGCAGGTTGTGAAGACAGTGGAAAAAGTGTAGTATCTGAGCCAGAATGCACTGTTTCCCCATGGCACAGTCCCTCACGGCTTCCCTTGGCTAGGGGAGGGAGTTCCCCAACCCCTTGTGTTTTCCGGGTGAGGCAACACCCCACTCTGCTTTGGCTTGCCCTCTGTGGGCTGCACCCACTGTCTAAACAGTCACAGTGAGATGAGCCAGGTACTTCAGTTGAAAATGCAGAAATCACGTGCCTTCTAGGTTGATCTCACTAGGAGCTGCAGACCACAGCTCTTCCTATTCGGCTATCTTGCCAACCACCTATTACTTTACTCTTTTATCACTCTTTCTTTCCTTTATTACTTTTTATACATTTTAAAAATTCTTCCTGGCATTTATAGGGCTTCTTGACTCTATCTTGATGGCTCTTATCTGTTTTGGAGTGATCTAAGTCTTGACATCTTCAAATATTACTTCTGCTTCATTTTATTTCTCGTCTGCTTCTGGAATTCCAGTTATACACATATTGTATCTCCTCACTATTTTCTCTATATCTCATCCTGTATCATGTGCATTTTTCATCATTTTTTCTCTCCATCTTTTATTTTGGATATTTTCTGTCTAATGTGCTTTCAGTTTATTAAATCACTCTTCAGCTCTTTCTAATTTGCTGTTCTCTGTCTTCGCTGTCTCTTCATTGAATTCTTTTTTTTTTTGAGATGGAGTCTTGCTCTGTCACCCAGGCTGGAGTGCAGTGGTGCAAACTAGGCTCACTGCAACCTCCACCTCCTGGATTCAAGCGATTGTCCTGCCTCAGCCCCCTGAGTAGCTGGGATTACAGGCACCTGCGATCATGCCCTGCTAATTTTTTCGTATTTTTAATAGAGACAGGGTTTCACTATCTTGGCCAGGCTGCTCTTGAACTCCTGACCTCGTGATCCACCCACCTTGACCTCTCAAAGTTCTGGGATTACAGGCGTGAGCCACAGCACCCAGCCTCATTGAATTGTTAATTTTAATTATTGTGTTTTCCGATTTTAGGATTTCTACTTGATACATGCACAGACATATATGCACAAAAAATATTTTTATATCCTTGCACATAATAATCAGTTATTTTAAAGTCTTTAATAACTCTAATATTTGGGTCCCTGGTAGATATGTTCTATTATTTATTATTTTATCTATTGATTGTGTTTATTTTAAGTTGTATTGCATTATCTTTTTCAGTGTATGGCTCTATCTTTTTATTATATACTTGTCCTTACACTTACAAAATAAATTGAGGCCTAGGATGATATTATCTGTCTCCAAAGAGTTTTTACATTGGCTTCTATCAGCCACCTAAAAACACTAGCACTCATGGGCAATTGGGTACTAGAAATGCAGATCAACTCAATCCCATTTCAGGGAATAAAACTGTTTGGAAATGAGCTGCACGCTTTGTTCCCTCCAAAATTCATAAGTAGAATCCTAATTCATAATGTAATAGTGTTTGGAGGTGGGGCCTTTGGGAGGTGATTAGATCATGAGGGCAGAGTTCTCATGAATGGGGGGATTAGTGCTGATATTTCAAAACCCCAGAGAGTTTGTTCACCGCTTCAACCATGTGAGATTACATCAAGAAGATGGCTATCAGTGAAACAGGAAGCAGCCCTCACCAGACATATCTGCTGGTGGCTTGATCTTGGACCTCTCAGTCTCCAGAGCTGTGAGAAATAAATTTCTGCTGTTTATAAGCCATTCAGCTTATGGTATTTTTTTATTATAGCAGGCACAACAGACTAAGATGCTTCTAATACACTTCCCCTTTATGAGTTATGGACTCTAACCAATCCCGTAGAACTTCAAAGATGTCAAAAGTAGTGGTCAGCCTCTCAAACTCTAAGTTGCTCTCTCTTCAATCATAAAGTATCTCCACTGAAAAAAGTAGCCCCAAGTACTGGACTTACCTCATCTAAACTTCCTCTGATTCTACCATAGTAACTGTCTGATATCTCTAGGCAGAATTTGCTTATACTTATTGTCACTTCTAGACATCCTCAGCCAGAGGATTGATCTCCAAAATACCTAAACTGATTCTTTTTTCTTACAAGACTGAAGAATAACTTAAGCCAGTTTCCAAATTTTCTTATTACTGGTAGAGGATTTTTTAATGTCAGAGATTATAATTTTATATCTCTATCCATATTTATGTGTATAATTAGAAGATATTTAGAAACTATTCCACCAGAAGAAACTATATCTGCATTATTAAATCACTACTGGGAGCTCACATGTTCATAACAACAACAAATAATTTTACTTAAGCATTGAAACACATTTCTAAATTTTCCCTTTAGTATTTATTTTTTCAGTGCTTATTTATTTCATCATCTGCAAGTATCACCCACAGACAAGTGACAGCTGATCCCAAAAGTATGAGAAAAGATTTATAGGTTTAAAACATAATTAAATTAAACTTTAAATTTAGGAATTATTATTTAACTTTTTATTTTGAGAAAACTGTACATTCACTGCAGTTTTAGGAAATAATACAGAGCGACTCCATGGACCCTTAGCCCAGTTTCTCCCAATGGTAACATCTTACAAAATGATATGGTTCAGATCTGTGTCCCCACTAAATCTCACGTCAAATTATAATTCCCAGTGTTGGAGGTGGGGCCTGATGGGAGGTGATTGGATCATGGGACCACGTTTCTCATGAACAGTTTAGCACCATCCCTCTTGGTAATGTCCTCATGATAGTAAGTTCTCATGAGGTCTGGTCGTTCAAACGCGTGTAGTACCTTCCCTCAACTCTTGCTCCTGTTCCTGCTGTGTAAGATGCCTACTCCCTCTTTGCCTTCTACCATGATCGTAAGTTTCCTAAGGACTCCCCAGAAGCAGAACCCACTATGCTTTCTAGGCAGCCTGCAGAACCATGAGCCAATTAAACCTCTTTTCTTTATAAATTACCCAGTTTCAGGTGTTTCTTAACAGCAATGTAAGAATGGAGTAATACACAAAACTATGGTACAGTGTTACAATGAGAATATTGATACAAAAAAGAGTCTGACTAAAAAAGTCAACATAGGGATCCATTATGTTGCCCTTTTAAAGACAACTTACTTCCTATAAGCTCTATTTCACCCTCAGACCCCAAAAGACCAGTTCCCCTAATATATCTAAAGGCATCAAAGACTTTCGAATCTTCTTTCTGCTACATCTGTGTCTATATTTAATGTATAATTTAGAAACTATTTCACCAAAAGAAATTATGTCTGCATTATTAAATCACTACCGGAAGCTCACATGTTCATAACAACAACAAAGCTTTTTACTTAAGCATTAAAACATATTTCTAAATTTTCCCTTTAGCATTTATTTTTTCAGTGCTTATTTGTTTCATCATCTTCAAGTATCACACACAGACAAATGACAACAGATCCCAAAATTATCTGTAAGTAGTACTACAGATAAGTTACATTAAAAATGAGAGTATTGCCTTTAAAAGCATTGCATAGAATAGATGTTGCAGATGTAGTTGGCAAATGCTCAGAACAGACTCTTTTCTGTATCAATATCAATATCCTGATTGAGTACTATAGTTTTGTGTATTAGTCCATTCCTTGCATTGCTATTAAGAAATATCTGAAGCTGGGTAATTTATAAAGCAAAGAGGTTTATTTGGCTCATGGTTCTGCAGGCTGTACATGGAGCATAGTGGCTTCTGCATCTGGGGAGGCCTGCTGTATTAGAGAGTTCATAACTAGTAGTCTCCTAAACACAGGGGAACATTAAGAACAATGAAATAATAATTTGGAAATTATCATTGTCATCAGAATAATTCACAATCACCATTGTCATTGTTGTATTTAATAGGCAAAGTGCTTACCTCCAGATGTTTACGTCAGTTTCTTCTTCCTTTTTTTTCATATCTAGGTAGAACTACAGATAAGTTAATTAAAATGAGGGTATTGCCTTTAAAAGCACTGCATAGAATAGATGTTGCAGATATAGTTGGCAAAATCTCATTTCATCTTAGTGTTGTGTTATCAATAATATCACACCTTCACAGAAGCCAGTGATAGCCAATTGATCCAGCTAGTCCCTTTGTGATAGAAATGCTTTCCAGATACCCGGTTAGATGCAGTGGAGATTGTAGTGCTCTCCTTTCTTTCTGAGCTGTAATAAGGAGGTGATTATATTAAATCTTATTAGTCTGAAGAGTTTTATCTAAAATTATAAGACATACTATATACAAATATTTTTAACAGTTTTCATTTCATGGATCATATTAAGTCAATTTTTTTGGTTATTTTATTTTGCAATGTTACACTCTACTTTTAATAAGGGCTTTCATAAAAGGATATAATTTGCTTGAGTCACTTAATTCCATGGGTCAATAGTTCCAACATAATTATACAGGTAGAACTAGATTGAAATAATCATCAAGGGCCACCTCAAAGAAAAATACTCCCTAACAGGTTTGAGAGGGGTACGTGTGCATGACTGTGTGTGTGCACGTGTGCAGGCAAAAACGGATGAAGTTCTGGTTGGATATATAAGAGGCTCAACTGTTTTTAACTTAATCAGCAACCATGTGCTCACTCCCTGGGCAGCAGCTTGGTATGAGCAATGCTAACCCCCATAAAGCATCTATTTAGGGTGAAGATACTTCAATAGATAAACATGTGGAAAACTGCTATTTTGCTGACTCTCCCAGAGTTGTCATTTCTTAAATGAATTCAGTTATATCTAGGACTGTCAATGGCAGCAAACATGCCTGTGACTAAATGTCACCCCGTTGGTGATGTCTCACCACTAGATAAGAACAAAGTCAGTTTTGCCTCGTTGCTCTTGTTTTAAGACATGTAATTTCAGTTGTAACATATTTTCCTACCAACTGTTCAAACTTGAACCCCTTTCATTTTCTCAGGAGTCATTTTCTTCTCAAAAATATTGACAATCTTGTAATTGCATCCTATCTGTTAAAAATCATCCAATAGGACCTGATGATTCTGATTTTGTTTTAGTGGAACATGATTAGCTAAACTTGATAAGCGTTGGAAGTATGATTTTTACCACAAACACAAGTAAGTTTGTTTCCAGGGTTCCAGAAACCTGGAAATCATATGTCTCTTTGTCCTGCCTCATAGGCCTCATGTCTAGTGTGCATTAAGCACTCAAAAGGCCACCCAGTAGGCAAACAAGTGGAAGAAAAGTGAAACTCACGAAGGCGAAAAAAAAAGTGGTATGTTCCAGATATAGGCTATGTTTTCCTTATGGAAATACTTCATATAATCTACAAATAAAATATTTCAAATTATTTAAAGTAATTCTTTTTGACATTTGAGTCGATGTGTGATCAATTGCTGTGATTTCTTTGGCACTTCAGTTGAATAGTCCTTTGAAACTGTTTCTCTTAGATTTCCATTGGTTGACCTTTTCTCTGGCAATAGTCACAGATACTCATGTGCCTTTCCAAACTGTTTATCTTCTGGCTTACTAGGCAACTAGTGTTGCTTATACAGTACAAGAAGACCTTGAGCCTGTCCAGTTGGATATTCATTGATGGGTTGTTAAGATAACATCCTTAGTCATATTTTTAAAAAACCACTTTTTTAGGAGGAGGGGAGATTTTATTTTATTTTATAATTTCAACTTTTATTTTAGATTCAAGGAGTACATGTGTAGGTTTGTTACATGAGTGTATTGTGTGATGCCCAGGTCTGGGGTATGAATGACCAGTCACCCAGGTTGTGAACATAGTACCCAATAGTTTGTTTTACAACCCTTTCCCCGCTTCTTTCCTCCCCGTCTAGTAGTTCCCAGTGTCTATTGTTTCCATCTTTATGTCCATGAGTACTCAATATTTAGCTCCTACTTATAAGTGAGAACCAGGCGGTATTTGGTTTTCTGTTCCTGCATTAGTTTGCTTGGGATAATGGTTTTCAGCTGCATCCGTGTTGCTGCAAAGGACATGATTTTGTCCTTTTTTATGACTGTGTAGTCTTCCATGGTGTATATGCACCACATTTTTGTTATCCAGTTAACTGTTGATG
Source organism: Homo sapiens (assembly GCF_000001405.40). Taxonomy (NCBI): domain Eukaryota; kingdom Metazoa; phylum Chordata; class Mammalia; order Primates; family Hominidae; genus Homo; species Homo sapiens. Next base: position 122,980,147 of record NC_000006.12, on the reverse strand, counting down.
GGCACCTAGGTTGATTCCACGTCTTTGCTAATGTGAATAGTGCTGTGGTGAACATGCGTGGTCTTTTTGATAGAACAATTTGTTTTCTTTTGGGCTTATACCCAGTAAAGGGATTACTGGATCAAATCATAGTTCTAAGTTCTTTGAGAAATCTCCAAGCTGCTTTTTATGGTGGCTCTACTAATTTACATTCCCGTCAACAGTGTATAAATGTTCTCTTTTCTCCACAGCCTGGCCAGCCTCTTAAGTTTTTTGATTTTTTAATAGAAGTCATTCTGACTTGTGTAAGACGGTATCTCATTGCAGTTTTGATTTGCATTTCTCTGATGATTAGTGATGTTGAACATTTCTTCATACGTTTTTTGGCTGCCATATGTTAAAGGCCACTTTAAAAATCACTCAAATAAGTTATGGGTTAATCCTCACATGAAATTTGAAAAAGATGTTGTTTTAACATACAAATGGAGTTTCAGTCCCTTACTAATGTGTTTATTGTTTCACAAAATATTTGTTGAGAACCAGTTATGATGCAGGCTTTGTACTAGGCAACTTTCCCCTCTGCTTCATTTTCAGCTCACTGCTGTAGAATATACTGCAGGTAAATTATCTAATAGATGCTTATTTCCCAAAAGCTTATTTTTAGGATTTTATTGCTATAGTCATGTTTTCTAGTTTAAGATGGGGACATATCTATAAATTCAAACAGAACCGGTCAGGATAGCGACCAGCCACTACCAGTGATACTGTGGCTTTTCAAATCAATGTTATACCAAAATGGTATCCTTTAGCATCCCTTCAGGAGCAGCTCCGTTTTTCTTAGCCACTCAAACTATGTTTTCTCAACATGTTTAGCATATCAACACATGTGAGGACATCATCCATGAACCCACAGAGAAAAATAGGCCTTTAGGTTTTGTTTAATCCCTGGAAAGCTTGCCTTGTCCAGTATTTTTCCACTCAAAGAAGTATATCAGAAAAAAGAGAATGAGTTATAAGAATATAACCAGGAATTTTACTGTCGATTTTATGTGTAAAGGTCAATAATTTTCAAACTTCAGTCCTTCAAGTCCTAGTGGCAACACATTATATGCAATACACCACAATTGATCATTCACAAAGTGTGTGTGTCAGCTCCTTGTAATTAAGAGCTACTGGCCTTGGCTTCATCAATTGAATTGAAGCTTAGCTAGTTTCTGTGTCTGAATAATTAGATGCCTTTGATAACAGTACTTTCGATGACAGTTTTTCCTTTAGCAGTGTCAGCAGCAACTTTACTTTCTCTGCCTCTGACTGACCCAGGTTTGCATAGCTGAATTCAGTGTTGGCTGCATTAGAAGATTCTGGTCCTTCTTTGCTTTCCAGATCAACCAAAACAAAAGTGATGTGTAAACCAAAGGTCCCCAGTGTCATTAAGGGCCCAGCAGGGCATCTGAAGATATGAAGCTGCCTATGTGAGGCCACAAGAACTGATGGTAATTGTGGCAAACTAGAGAACATGCTCAGCCTCCACATGTTCTGATTTCTTTTCATACTGCACAGGCAACCAAACCATCTGCTTGGCTACCAGTTTGCAACTCTTGACATTACATAAAACCTTCTGCCGAAGCTACTCCTCTCTCATTCTTCAAACCTGAGATTTTGGGGATCATTCCAGTTTCTGGATGCTCAAGTTGTGCACTCACACTGACCTCCCCCAACAGCACCTGAAAACTTCCTTATATCTGACCCACAGTGGACTCAATCCACAGGACTGAGCTGTGAAGCATGCCCCAGACCCTTACACACTGGCTAGCCACCTGTTATTCTGATTTGCTCCTTCTGGTTGCTCTCCCTGTGACTGTGTTAGTGGTGGAAGAGATCTAAGTTACTCCAAGTTACCGGCAGCAAATCCATAGGCTCTCCAGCAACTTCAGCCTTTGCCCCCTCAGAAGAAAAAATTCAACTGAAGAAGCACAAAGCAGAAAAAGAGACCAGACAGAGGCAAGTTTCAGAGCAGAAGTGGAAGTTAATTTAAAAGGCATTAGAACAGGAAAGAAAGGAAAGTTCACTTAGAAGAGATTCAAGAGGGCATGTGAAGGTTAAAGAGAGAGGTCAAGTCCCCATTTAACCATGATCCTAGGACCTTTATAAGCTCACCTCTTTCCCATGATTCTTCGCTTAGGGTGGGCTGCCCGCATGAGCAGAGTCCTCCTTACCCTTGGGAAGTGAGCACGTGCAGTGTGTTTAGGGAGTTGTACACGTGACCATCTAAGGCTTTCTTCCTTTTTCTGGTGGAACCTACCTGGAAGATCATACTTCACCATTTTTGTCTTTTTTTTTTTTTTTTTTTCGAGACGGAGTCTCGCTCTGCTGCCCAGGCTGGAGTGCAGTGGCAGGATCTTGGCTCACTGCAAGCTCCGCCTCCCGGGTTCACGCCATTCTCCTGCCTCAGCCTCCCGAGTAGCTGGGACTACAGGCGCCCGCCACCACGCCTGGCTAATTTTTTGTATTTGTAGTAGAGACAGGTTTCACCGTGTTAGCCAGGACTGTCTCCATCTCCTGACCTCATGATCCACCCGCCTTGGCCTCCCAAAGTGCTGGGATTACAGGCATGAGCCACCAGGCCCGGCCATTTTTGTCTCTTAATGTCCATGCCCAGGAAGTTGCTTTTCCCTGGGGTCTGCCTTTAATTAACACTTTAATGTTAACAGGTGTGGACAATCAGGAACTCGCCTGTCACTGGTGCAGGCTGACAATGTATCACTTTGAGAGAAGCAATGCAATAATTGCTGAATCATCACCCGACATTTCTGGTGGGTGTGGGGAGAGACCTCTGCTGTTCTACTCATGCCTATCTACCTGTAACAGCTGGAACATTGCCTTGTATCTGAAATTAGGCACCCATTATTAATAGACAATTTTTCCAGAAGCTAACCACAAACCCACCGACTTCAGAATGTTCTTCCACCCTGATGGGGACTGGAGGCTGCACCCTGTCTACCTGAACATGCAGCCAGGTCCCAGAATCTACTGCTACTAGAATCATGGTTGACAGCAGGTCTCTCCTCTAATTCTGTGACCTAAGAATGCAATCCCCACCATATAAACACCTGAAGCCTAGCAGCATCTTAGAGAAATTTTAGGGCTCCATCCTTCCTTCTTTATCCAACAAACATTGTTCCTCAGTTCACCAAAACTGTAATTTAAGAATATGCAATGGATAGGCCAGAATAGGACTTTGTTTTCCACCCTCTGAATTATGTAGGTTTATCTCCACGTTTGAAGAAACTATGGATCATTTGTTGTTGACCACCAGAGTGAAAACCACTCATAATATACTGACCAGGATACTCTGCCCTGTAAAAGCGGCCAGCAGCTTGGTCAAACTGTGAGCGGTCCATTTTCATACTGCTTGGTTGCAAAAATTAAGAGGCATCTTCACTATAAATACTTTCCTACAACTCAGCAACTTTGTAGCATATGCCTATCAAGTCACTCTGAAAAAGATATAAGCAACTCTCACAATGAGACAAAACATAATAAGAATATTAAATCATTAAACTGTTAGTAGCAATTTTCTGCATCTAGTCCTTTCAAATTATCTATTGCTAGAATAATAATCCCTGAAAATCATATCTTACTTCTTTCTTCTGATCTTGTAATCCTCTAAAAGCTACAAAACAGGACACTAAAGATAGCTTCAAGTTTGCTGAAAGGCAGTACAAGGGAATAGCAAAAGAGTTTGTTATATATTTATTGTCAAATAGAAGAAATAAAATACTGGCATCATGATTTCAAAATTAGTCAAAGAATAATTGACTTAATAAGGCTGCAATAATTTCTTAACTATAAAACAACTTATAGAAAAAATTTTCAACCCAAATCTTCAAAATACTGCCTACTTCATGCAAAGTGATCCACTCACTGTCTCCTACAATCAGCATATCCATTCTCCCAGTGCCATCCATTCCTCCATGCTCACAGCCCCAGAGTTACAGTTCAAGATTTGGTGTGGCTTCCCAGCACAGGGAGCTGTAAACTTGATAGAGCTGGACTAACATCCCACGACCAAAAGCTTAGTGGTCACTTGGGCTCTGGGCTATTGAATGCCATGTTGGAGGATTTACGCAGGAAAAAGAAGATGCTCAGATAAATTTGAATTTTAGATAAACAACAAACAAAAATTTTCAAAATAAGTATGGACTATGCAATATTAGAGACATAATTTAAAAATTTAAAGTTAAACTTAAATCTAATTAGACATCGTATCTTTTCTCCAGCAACCCTGGTTGAAAAGTCAGTTGGCTACAGAGGGGAAGAAAGAAGAGTAACATTTAACAGTAAAAGACAGGGCCTCTTTTATCAATACTAGAAATGGAAGCAGGAAGGAGCTGGTTAGCAACATCATCCTCATGGTGATGGCACTGCACCTGCCAGGTCAGATGATCAAATGTCTGCAGGAGAGTAGCCTGCTAGACTATGGGATAGTGGTAGTGGGTGGAATATAAGGAGTGGACTCCAGAGGGACTTTGCATAGGAGCTCAATAAGGATGCCTGCAGGCTGGGAAGCAGTCATTTGACTTATCTGACCCATCTTATGTGATTGCCCTAACTACTTTTGGAAGTAGGGCAGAGACTCTAAGACATTCCCCTGTCTCATGAAAGGGAACCAAGGAGGTGAAGAATTGGAAGTTCAGAGAAATTTCGTGGACGTTTGAGTTACATGTGTCTTTGAGTATAATTCCAGCCTTTGAGATATCCTGTGGCTTAAATGAACTAAAAACAGCAGGCACAACTATGTCTGTCTTGCATCCACAAGATCCTTCAGCTTCTTCAAGAAAAGAATAGAACCTTGTTCATCATTGACTCTCCGGTACTGGACACAAACTTGTTTCAAAAGATATGACTCTAAGTGTCTATCGATTTGATTTGTTATAGTTATGAGACTAAAAATTGTATTTCTCCAAAGAAAATAAATGGGTGTCTTACAGCATCGAGAGCTATATTTGTTTTTAAAATGATCAATAAATCAAGGTATAATTGAGAATTTTTTTAAAAAACAAAGAGAAAGTAAAAGTAATCTGGTAAAAAAAAGTTCCTCTTTCTTTACATAAAATTGTACTATTTCTCTTTGAACACTCAAAACTACTGACATCTCTATGCACAACTGAACACTCCGCTCTTACAGGAAATAGTTAGCTGTACTCTGGTGGCAGAGTGATCTCAATGTGACCTGGATTTAAATCACTGGATGGACAAGGAGTACTTTGTGGAAGAGCAATGAACTTAAATATCTACTGATATGTCTGGAATAATGTCCTGTCTTAGCCTCCCTCCATCTCACATCCCTGGTCCACTGCCCTAACTTTGCTGTGAGACTCGACATGTCCCTTCCAATAGATGAATAGCATAGTTCAGAAGGAATTGCTTCAGCCTGAGAGACTTACCCTGGAAAATGTCATTTTGAGCATAAAATGTTATATTAGATACCATGAGAATAAGGAAATGATACGAAATTAGGAGCATCAGACAAAGCAAATATTTTAGCTTAAATCATAAGCTTTGTCTTTCACATTAATGCCCAGACTGTCCGGTTGACATAAAAATTCACTTAGTTGTTATGGCTTAAGCCACCCTCTAAAGTTCATTTTACTACTTGTATAAAATATATTTTTGAACTGTTTCAAAATTGAGATTTTTATACTGTCAAATAGTAGAACAACATTATACTAATTTTTATTAGCTGTCATCCTACCTCCATGAAAATGACAAAATGAGAATATATTCTTAGAAAAAAAAACTGACCTCTTGCAGAGGATTCGCTAAATTCATAATATTTGTAACTATTCAGGTAAAGACAGAGGGATAAGATAAAAGAGTTATCCCATGAGGGTTTAAATGATCTGGCACTATTTTATATTTTAGGATGTAGGGTGAGTATAAAGATTTTCTTGTAATACTCTTTGTATCTGTTTCTATCTTAAATGTTTCATAGTAAGCTTTTAAGAAAGATGAAAAATCATAGCTACTTCATTCATACATATACTATGGTGACCTTATATACAGGCCAAATTACGTGCTACACATTTATTTAGTATAAATTTTTATCTTTAGGAATGTGATCGCCCCTCTTCTCTGATGCTTTTATAGTTATTTAATTACAAATCAAAGGAAGATGTTTTGATGAGCTATTGAAATGGCTTTAGATTTTCAAAATCTATCATCTGTAAAAAATGGTATTGATTGTAGGCTTCTTCAACCCCATAAACCTCTCTAACTACCATCCTCATTCTTCGTCTCCTCTTCAACATTTTGAAAAAGCTGTTTAAAGTAACATCTCCTCTTAGCCACCCTCCATTCATCCTCAGCTGTGTCCTCTGACTCACTCCGTTAACATTGAAGCCATGCATTAGTAGTTGTCACTAACAAATTCTTGCTAAATCTTACTTAATCGCTGAGCATTTGCACTGTTAATCTTCCCATCTTTCTTGTCACATTATCTTGTCATCTTTAGGCTTCCACAATATGATATTTACTTGGCTTTTCTGAGTCCAGTTTTCACCAATTAGCCACTTTCTCTTTACAATTTTACTCTAAACCTAATTTTCCCTATAAGCCTAACTTTCTTCACTGTAAATATTACTCATTGCAGCAGATTGCTTATTGTATCCATACAGGGGAATTCCAGGCAACTATTTTAAAGTATAAAGGAAATCAGTTATGATCATTTGGAAAAAGTAAGTTGCCCAAAATAACACATTAAAAAAAAAAGAATTGTTGATAGCAATATAAATGTTCAGAGTAGGCAAAATTAAAGAAATATGCACTATGCTTTACCAAAAGTTGTTTTATAGAGTGGATTACATAGGATATTTATCTTCTAAATTATATATTTATATCATTTTGAATGTTGTATGTGAATATATTAATTTGAAAGCTATAAAATATGAAAGAGAAAGTGAGAAATAGGGATGTAATAGACTTCATTGTATTGTCAGATTGATTAAATGACACAGGACTTGCCTGGATTTATTGTGGGTTTAAGTGTCTGTAGGACATAGTAAACCCACAATAAATGTTAACTGTTATTATTACCTCATTGCACCTTTGTAGTTTCATTATTCTTCTTCTCCCAATCCTAATGCTTTGTTCAGTAGGGTTGCCACCTCAGCTCTTTTCTACCACTCTATTATACTTCCCCTGACATTCCTATGCCAATAACTCACACATTTCTAGCCAAATTATCCTGTGAAGCTCCAGACCCACCTGCCATAGTCTTGAGCACAGTTCTACTTGTATATCCTACAGGCCCCAAAATGCAAGACACATAGAGCCAAAGTCTTCATCTTGACCCTCCATAAGTACTTGGCCTCTGAGGTCCCCATTTCAGTGCCTAATACCATCATCAATCCATTGTGCAAGCCAGAAACCTGAAGGTCAACCAACATTCTGCCATAATCCCTTACAACTGATATCTGTGTCCAGTCGATTCTTCCCCTTTATCTCCTTCATAGCTTGAGACCCCATCCACTTCTATCCAACTCCACTGCCATTCCCTTGGTCAGTTCCTACAAATATCTGTAACTGCTTCCTGTTGAACTCACTGCCTCAGTTTTATACCATCCCAATTCATTTATTCAACAAACATTTACTGAGCATAGTTTATAACCACTGGGGAGAGAAACAAGTAAATTTGCAATCATAACTTCTGCTTTCATTAGTGCTGGTGTGGTTATTCTTATTTCCTATATTATACACACATACACATATCTTATTCATGTTCAATTTTTTTAAGAACACAAACATTTTAATGCAATCATACTATAGGATGACAATGGTATAATAGTGATGGTACAGAGAATCTCAAAGACACAGAGTAGATAAAAACCAGCTTAGAGTAGGTTATTTCAAGGAAGGCTTCCTGGAGGAAGCAACATCTGCGCTGAAATCTAAAGTATGTGGAGGAGTTGGCCAGACAAAGAGGAAAAGGAGAAGTGTCCCAGGTCAGAAACAGCATTTTCAATGTTCTGGAGGCCAGTCTTCTTAGAATGAAATAGTCTGTTCCAGTGTAGCTGTTGTCATCAGAGTGGAAGAAACCAAGGCAGATTCCTGTAAACTTTATCAGGATATTACATTCTGTCCTAGGGAGAATGGGAGCCATTGTATGATTTTAAGCAAGAACATCACATAGTAAAATAATCACCCTGGCCACAGGGGTGTCTGTCCCTGCCCTCCAAATCAGAGTGAATTTTGTACATTCTACTTAATACCCTTCAACAGATCTCTATTTCCCTCAGTTTTAAGTCCAAGTATTATCTGACCCCTGCTTACTTCTCTATTCATATATCTTAGTATTCACCCAGCTTTAACAAACTCAGCTTCAGCAAAATCAGTCTTCTAGCACCCCATGGAAACAAAAGTACTGCACAGTTTGCTTCTGAGCCTTTGTATACTCTGTTCCACACTTCCTTCACTAATTCTGGAACATATTTCCATCCTTCTTCACTATGGTAACAACTAATCATTTAGAACTCAAGTTAAAATTAACCCCATTATATGGCACCCACCACATCCAAAGTTTGATCTGTGCCCTTTCTTTGCAATCAAAATGCTATATGATGATCTTTATATTTTATCATCTATCATGCTCCACTGTAAGTGCCTGCTTTTCTCTTTTCTTTTTCATAAGATACTTTGATACAGGCATATAATGCATTTTTTCTTTTCTTTTCTTTTTGGTCTTGCTCCCTAGTGTGCATAAATTCTGTAAAGCTAGGGGTTTGTCTTGTAGTAATGTGATAAATACATGTTGAATTAACATATAACAGCATTTGGCTTTCTTGTTTAGAGAATATAGCAGGTTTCTAAAGAAATGCAAAAGCTCAATGTATCAAGTAAAATATTACAAAAGGATTAATTTAAAACATGTAATAAATAGCCTTATAAATTACATAGTGGAAATTGTGGGATTCAAGAGACCTGATATTAGTTACATCTTTCTTACTTGCTGTGCTGTTAAGTTAGATAATTTTAATATTTCTTTGAAATTTAAAATCCTCTAATCAGATAATAAAATTGATTGTAGATAGAATCTATGTAAGTTACAAATGTTTCCCAGACAAATAATTAACAATAAGTTTACTTACTTCTATTCAGTTGTTTAAAACAAAAGTGGGAGAAAAAAATCTTTGTAAGCCATCAGTGTTTGACTAATATTTTTCACACTATCCTGATAAATTGGTTTGTTTTTGTGATTATGCTACTGAATGAAAAATTTAATTCTTAAATAAAATTGTAGTGGAAAACATTTGTCTCAACTACAAATGGCGCCTTAAAACCCACTCTTAAATCTTCTCTTCGTAATTCAATTCTAACCACTATAATTCAACCTTAGATACAAACTCACTTATCAATTGAATGGTCATTTCCCCTGACTCTGTGTTTTATTAGTATCTTTCTACATATTACTGTCTTTAATTAGAGAAATACAGAAACTGGCATAGAGAATTTCAAACGTTAGTATTATATTTCTTCAAATGAGTTTAATTTAATGTCAGAACATTGCCAGTGGCTATAAATCTAGAATTTCCAGTTTTAGATGAACAAGGTAATATCACCTTTGAGAATCTATCCACAAACTGCCAGAGAAAAATTAAAAGCAATTCATCAAAAGAGCATACTGACTGTCTTAGTAGAATGGACATTGAATATGTACCAATTAAAGTGAACATGACTCACACTGAATGGAAATCAATCGACTCTATCTGTATAATAAGCATGCTCCCCCCTTCACTCTTGGAGAAGGAGCCATGCAGACAGCTGGGAAAAGAGATGGGCACTGTGTGTCACATTAGTGCTATACTGGAGTTCAGGAAAGATGAGGGTGAGTCCAAAAGGATGTGTGGCCAAGGAAACACTAGACACAGGCCTGTACACACACACCCCTCCATTTACTTAGTGGCCAGCCAGCCTGTAGAGGGAACTGTAGAGGGAATTCTGTGAACTGCTGTCCTCAGCCAGACCCAGGGCTTCTCCAAAGACAAAGAAGATTGAACTAAGGTGAGTGTCTGGATGAGGGACAGAAGAGGCCCCTTCTCCCACTAGAGCCAGCCAGTGTGCTTTCCTCAGGGCAAAAGCAAAAAGCATCTGCCTTTACTTTTCTTTCTTTCCTTCTCATTTCCCATTTATTATTTTTTAAACAGATTTATTGAGCTATAATTCACATACCATGTAGTTCACCATTTTATAGTGTACACTTCAGTGGGTTTTAGTGTATTCACAAGGTTGTGCAAGCATCACCACTATCTACTTCCAGGCCTTTTTCATCACTCATGCCGTTAGCAGTCATTCTCTATTTCTCCTCCTCCCACACCTCACTCCAGTCAACTACCAATCTCCTTTCGGTCTCTATTATATTTGCCTAATCTGGACATTTATATCAATGGAGTTATGTAATATGTGGTCTTTTGTGACTGCCTTCTTTCACTTAGCATGTTTTCAAAGTCCATCCATGTTGTAGCATGTATCAATACATTCCTAGATATGACTGAATAGTATCCCACTGTTAGGATATTCTGTGTGTCTATCCATCCGTTGATGGCTATTTTGGTTGTTTCTACATTTTGGCTATTATGAATAGCTGCTTTAAACATTCACGTACATGTTTTGTGTTGACATACGTTTTCATTTTTCTTGGGGAGATATTCATTTGCTTGGGGAGAAATGCTGTCATATGGTAACTCTGTGTTTAACCATTAGCCTAAGCAAATTAACACAGGAACAGAAAGCCAAATATCACATGTCTTCACTTATAAGTGGGAACTAAACATTGAGTACACATGAACACAAAGAAGGGAATAATAGACACTGGGGTCTTCTTGAGGTGGGAGTGTGGGAGAAGGGTGAGGGCTGAAAAACTACTTATTGGGTACTATGCTCATTACCTGGGTGAAGAAATAATTTGTACACAAAACTCCAGGACAGATAATTTATCCATGTAACAAACCTGCACATGTACCCCCTGAACCTGAAATAAAAGTTGGAAGGATAAGGTACATGGCTTTAAATTGGTGGGTGTCAATGTATCCCTCACCTTCTACTTCCCAGCAACTGAGTTTCACACTGCATCCTCCCAGTGCTGCTGTGATACACTCAAAGGTTCCCCAACATTTCTTAAAAGAGAAAAAACAAATTCTTACATTTTACACACTTTGTTACATAGCACTAGGATGGCGAGAGTGAAGCCCTTAAAAATCTCATCAGCTCCATTTATTAGACGTTGTGAACCTTTTATGGTTTGTACAGACAACTGAGCATTGCAGTGCAATGAAACAAGAACAACCACGTGGTGCCTGAAAAAGCTCTTTGAGTTGTGTGAATTCAGTAAACCATATACAAATCATGAGAGCAGGTGCTTTGACTAAAAAGCGTACTATAATTTGATGCTATTTTTTTCATGGAAAGTATTTAAACCTACAATGTTATATGGTACATTTAGAAAAACTCCTCATTATACCCTCTTTTACCTTATTAATTTTTTTTTCTGTTATTGACTACAAATACCACACATATTATCAACCTTCCTTTGAGATTGTGGATTAAAAAAAAAAAAGAAAGAAAAACCTACGCTGTTTTCTTTAGACTTCAAACTTGTTTCACACAATTGTTTTGTTTTGTTTTAAGTGGTCTCTCAGGGCAAGAAAATATATTACCTTATATTTGATTTTCTCAGGCTCTGGAGTTAAATTGCAACCCTCTAGTTAAGCATTTTGTTTCTTTCTCACTCTTCTTTTCCTCTGGATTTAATTGCTCCTTTCTCTGTCTTCATTTATTTGGACCTCCATGAAAGTACTTGTTTTATTCTGTCCAGCAGTGGATCTCTTTTGCGTGTTTTTCTCTATGGAAGGATGTGCAAGCTCTTAAGAGAGTGGTGCCCATGGCTTTTTCATCTTTGCATACCTGACAGCCACATAAAAAACATAGCTTCCAAAGAGACATCGTGTCTGATTGAACTAAGTTTAACTAACCAGGTCAAAAAATCTTACTTTTAAGAGATTTAGGGAGAAAAAAACTTTATTGACCACAGTCAACCACTGCGATCACTATGGACAATCTATGATCAACCAGAATCCATGCAAGAAGATTCATTTTGTGATCACATTAGGCAGCAATGTTCCCTAAAGACACAGGTTAGAAACTAGATGCAAAGATCTGACATTTAACATAAGCAGTAGTGTGCAAAACACAGCATTTTAAAGCACCAAAGTAAAAAAATCTGTCAATTATATGGTCGTTTTAATGACAAAAAATTAAAATAACAAATGGCTTAAAGGCATACATTTTATAGGCTATATACACAATTGCTATTTCCAAATGGCTGCCTATTCTGTCAATTGAGCAAAATATTTAAGTGATCCAACTTTATACTTTCCACACAACCTTGTACAGATAATAACTTTAATTTGTTTTTTACATGCACATTCTTCCATTTAACACATTTATTTGGTGTTTACAATGCTCAATTCTCTATAAAAGGTGTCTTAATATTTTGTATTTGAAGTTTCTAAAGTGAACCTGTATTCTTTATATATTTCATCCTTATAACAAGCCAGTATTTGCCTCTGAGCTAAAGGACAGTTTTTAATTCCTACTTTAGAGATGAGAACTGAGGACATAGAACACAAGGTACATGACCAAAATCCCACTGGTAGCATATATCTGAGTCAGGACTTCTAACTCAAGGGAACTAGAAACTTCCCAGGGCTCCTCAATACTGTACCACATGAGCATATCCAGGGGAGATACTTGTGTTTGTCACATTCATTTGAATATTTTTCTTATACAATCCTTAACCTTTAACAAGGGCTCCATGCAAATAAAATTACATGCAGGTGAAATGATGTGATGTCTGGGATTCTCTTTAAAACACTCTAGGGGGAAAAAGTGAGGGTAGTGGAAAGTTTCAAAATAATTGAGAAAATGTTGCTAAGTGTTGAAGCACGGTTATGGATATATAGGACTTGCTATGCTATTCTCTTTAATTTTCTGTGTGTATGAAAATGCCCACAATAAAAAGTTAAAGAAAATAGAGACAATTTTAAACACTCACTTGGGAGCATAGATGGTAAATTATTCAAGTAAATGGTTCCTTCTGATATTGACAACAGAATGACTCTGAAGGAAGCCCAAGATTATAACTCTTAGAGCTTTAGACCTGTAGATTCTACTTCAACTCATCTCCTTTCAATAAACAAAATGTTCACTCTGCAAAAACATTTACTGAGTATTCAAATTCTTCCATGAGCTAGCCAAAGAAAACAAAGTTAATGGAAAAAATCTGCATAAAAACGAAAATTAAAATTCCTTTGAGAATAATGGATGAGAAGAGCTATTGGGAAAAGGAAATGATAAGAAAACACCAGTTGAATATATTATTCTCAAATTCTTTATAATATGCATATGGCTTGGCACATTTTAAATTTCAGACTTTTTATGGAACTTAGAGAATACTCTCTAAAATAATGCAAGAATAAAACCAAGGATGGGAACAAATTTAGTATAACATGAAAAGGAAAAATGAAAAGTGTGACTTATTTACCCTGGACCCCTTTGATGGCCTTACAGGGGAAAAGTGATGCAGGAACGTGACCTCAGATTTGTTATAAGTGCACCACATAGTAGGTGTGATGGCCCTTAGCATGTCACCTGTGAAGGGAAATACATAATTTTCCTAACCAAGTAAAAATTAAGATGTGAAACATCAGGCTTGCCCCTACCCATAGTGACAAAAAACAGCACTTAGAATAAGAAAGCAAGTGTCCTATCGACAATCTGCTTACTAGTCCATGAGAGCAATTTGTCCAACTTTTCTAAAGAAACACAGAACTGAACTTTCTGCGGAGAGTAGCTAACTACCTTAAAGGATTATGGCAACCTCTCTGAGCATTTAATTATATTCAGGGTTTATATAATTAGGCAGAAGTTAAAAGAGAAGAGTGGAAACATTAAGAGTCTCCATTTCTGCATTAACTTAGGACAACAGAATTCATATTTTTGTGTTAGAAAGTCAAGGTCATCCCATACTAGAACAGTGAAGGGGAAAATACAAATTGGAGCCATATCAGCAGAGACAAAATGTGATCATTATATGATTCTTGCTCTTTCCTTTACCTTCAAGTGATTACACAAAATGTTGTGGATCAATGTTAATATTTTTGCTGCTTTTATGCTTCTATAGTGATTTTGTCAATCACTTAAGGCAAATTAACTCTAAGCAAGTTTTCTTATAATAGAGCCCTCTGACTTTTCTCTGGAATGTTCTAAGGGAGTGGGCTTTGCCATTCTACTGCTTGGCTTTGAGTCTCTCTTCCATACATTACTTATCTGGAGCAAGCTGCTGAAACTCTGAGGCTTGATTTTTATATCTATGAAATGGATATCATTGTACCTACTGTAATAGAATTATTGAAAGGGTTAAATTAGGTACCGCATGTAAAGAGCTTAGCTTAGTATTTTGACACATAGTAGGAATTCCACAACTGGTAGATAATAATATTATGCCCAGTACAACATATACATCTTTCTGATTTTTCTTTCTATTTTTAATTAAAATGGATAGGTCATAGGCCAATAAATCTCAGCCTTGGATATTGAAGTACAGTCTTGATTCCTCATGAATCAAAGATTCTGTTTGAATAGAGTATCATTAACATTGTTTTTACTTACCAAGAATCTATGCAACTTCCCTTCTTTCTTCCTAAGAAACACTAATTAAAAAATTTTTTGTAGAAAAAAAAAACATAAAATCTACCCACTTAAAATTGTAAGTGTAGGGCCAGAGAGATGGTTCATGCATATAATCCCAGCACTTAGGGAGGCCAAGGCAGGTGGATCACTTGAGGCCAGGAGTTCCAGACCAGCCTGGCCAACATGTTGAAACCTCGTCTCTACTAAAAATACAAAAATTTCCCAGCTACTTGGGAAGCTGAGGCAGGGGAATCACTTGAGCCTGGGAGGTAGAGGTTGCAGTGAGCTGAGATCGTACCATTGCACTCCAGCCTAGGCAACAGAGAGAAACTCGGTCTTGAAAAAAAAAAAGTGTATAGTACAGTATTATTAACTCTATGCATATTATTGTGGAGAAAACCTCCAGAACTTTTGCATTTTGCATGACTGAAACTCTATAACCATTGAACAGCAACTCTCCATTCAACCCTTCCTTCCACTCCAAAATTATACAATTTTCTTTATCATTCAACTTTCTTTTCTTTTTTTTTTTAGATTACTGTTTTTTCAGCTTTATTGAGGTATAATTGACAAATAAAAATTGTATACATTCAACATATACAACATGATGTTATATACATATATATAGTAAAATAGTTTCCACAATCAAGCTAATTAACACATCTATAACTTCACCTACCTTGTGTGTGTGAGAGAGGTGAGAATACTTAAGATCTACTCTTTTAGCAAATTTCAAAGATACATTATTATTAACCATAGTCACCATGCTGTACATGAGGTCTTTATAACTTATTCATCCCATAATTGAAAGATTGTTCCCTTTAACAGACATTATCCCATTGTCCCCACTCCCTAATTCCTGGCCACCATTCTTCTAGTCTATGGTTCTTTTTTCTTTTCTTTTTTTTAACTTTTATTTTAGGTTCAGGGATACAAGTCATTTTTTTTTATACAGGTAAATTGCAAGTCACAGGGGTTTGGTGTACAGATTATTTCATCACTCAAGCAATAAGCATAGTACCTGATAGGTAGTTTTTCTATTGCCTCCCTCCTCCCATCCTTCACCCTCAATTAGGTCCCAATGTCCATTGTTCCCTTCTTTGTGTCCATGTGTTCTCAATGTTTAGCTTCCACTTACAAGTGAGAACATCAGTATAATATTTGATTTTCTGTTCCTGCATTAGTTCACTTAGGTTAATAGCCTCTAGCTCCATCCATCTTTCTGCAAAGGACATAATCTTGTCCTTTTTATGGCTACATAGTATTCCATGGTGTATGTGTACCATGTTTTCTTTATTCAGCCTACCATTGATGGGCATTTAGGCTGATTCCATGTCTTTGCTATTGTGGATAGTGCTACAATGAACATATGCACGCATTTGTCTTTATGGTAGAGTAATTTATATTCCTTTGGCTACATACTCAATAATGAGATTTCTGGGTTGAATGGTAATTCTGTTTTAAGTTCTTTCAGAAATCGCCAAACTGCTTTCCACAATGGTGGAACTAATTTACACACCCACCAGTGTAATATAAGCATTCCCTTTTCTCTGCGGCCTGTTCAGCATCTGTCATTTTTTGAATTTTAGTAATAGCCAGTGAGACTGCTGTGAGATGGTATCTCATCATCATATTGACTTGCATTTCTCTAATGATTAGTGATGTTGAACATTTTTTTCATATGCTTGTTGGCCATGTGTACACCTTTTTTGAAAAGTGTCTGTTCATGTCCTTTTTCCACTTTTTAATGGGGTTGTTCATGTTTTGCTTATTGTTTCAGTTCCTTATAGATGCTGGATACTAGACCTCTGTTGGATGCATAGTTGGCAAATATTTTCTCCCATTCTGTAGGTTGTCTGTTCACTCTGTTGATAGTTTCCTTTGCTATGTAGAAGCTCTTTAGTTTTATTAGGTCCCATTTGTTAATTCTTGTTTTTGTTGCAATTGCTTTGTTGTCTTCATCATAAAATCTTTGTCAGGAAATGGCATTTCCTAAGTCATCTTCCAGAATTTCTGTAGTTTTAGGTTTTACATTTAAGTGCTTCATATAGTTTTAGGTTTTACATTTAAGTGTTTCATCCATCTTGAATTGATTTTTCTATATTGTGTAAGGAAGGAGTCCAGTTTTAATCTTCTGCATATGGCTAGCCAGTTATCTCAGCACCATTTATTGTATAGGAATTTCTTTCCCCATTGCTTGCTTTGTCAAAGATTAGATTATTCTAGGTGAGCAACATTATTTTAGGGCTCTCAATTCTATTCCATTGGTCTATGTGTCTTTTTTTGTCCCAGTGCCATGCAGTTTTGTTTACTATAGCCTTGTAATATAGTTTGATGTCAGGTAGTGTGATGCCTCTAGCTCTGTTCATTTTGCTTAGGGTTGACTTGAGCTATTCAGGCTCCTTTGGTACTATATGAATTTTAGAATAGTTTTTGTCTAATTTTGTGAAGAACATCATTGGTATTTTTATAAGAATGGCAATGAATCTACAAATTGCTTTGGGTAGTATGGCCATTCAATGATATTGATCCTTCCTATCCATGAGCATGGAATGTTTTTCCATTTGGTTGGGTCATCTCTGATTTCTTTGAGCAGCATTTTGTAATTCTCATTGCAAAGATCTTTTATCCCCCTGGCTAGCTGTATTCCTAGGTATTTTATTATTTGTGTGTCTATCATGAATGAAACTGCACTCTTGATTTGACTCTCAGCTTAGACATTGTCGATGTATAGGAATGCTAATGATTTTTGTGCATTGATTTTGTATTCTAAATCTTTGCCAAAGTTGCTTATCAGATCTAGGAGCTTTTGGACAGAGACTATGGAATTTTCTAGATATAGAATCATATCATCTGCAAACAGAGAACATTTGACATCCTCTCTTTCTATTTGAATATATTTTATTTCTCTCTCTTGCCTGATTGCTCCAGTTAGGACTTCCAGTATTATACTGAATAGGAGTGGTGAGAGTGGGCATCTTTATCTTGTTCCAGTTATCAAGAAGAATGGTTCCAGCTTTTGCCCATTCAGCATAATGTTGGCTGTAGGCTTATCATTCATGGCTCTTATTATTTGGAGGTATGATCCTTCAATGCCTAGTTTGTTGAGGATTTTTAACATAAAGGAAAATTGAATTGTATCCAAAGCCTTTTCTGCATCTATTCAGATGATCATGTGGTTTTTGTTTTTAGTTCTGTTTATGTGGTGAATCACACTTATATATTTGCATATGTAGAACCAATCTTGCATCCCAGGGATAAATCCTACTTGATTGTGGTGAATTAGCTTTTGGATGTACTGCTGGATTTGCTAGTATTTTGTTGAGAATTTTTGTGTAGGTGTTCATTAAAGATATTACCCTCAAGTTTTCTTTTTGTGTGTGTGTCTCTGCTGGGTTTTCATATCAGGATGATGCTGGCCTTATAGAATGAATTAGAGAGGAGTTCCTTCTAAATTTATTTGGAACAGGTTCAGTAGGGATGGTAGCAGCTCTTCTTTACACAGCTGGTAGAATTTGGCTATGAATTGGTCTGGTGGCTTTTTCTGGTTGGTAGGCTATTTATTACTGATTCAATTATGGACCACATTATTGATCTGTTTAGGGGTTCAATTACTTTCTAGCTCAACCTTGGAAGGTGGTATGTTTCCAGGAAATTATCCAGTTCTAAGTTTTCTAGTCTGAGTGCATAGAGGTGTTTACAGTAGTCTCTGAAAGTTTTTAGTATTTCTGGGGGGTCAGTGGTAATGTCCCTTTTGGCATTTCTGATTGTGTTTACTTGGATCTTCTCTCTTTTTTTCTTTATTAGTCTAGTTAGCTTCCACCATGACTGTAAGTTTCCTGAGGCATCCCCAGCCATGCTGAACTGTGAGTCAATTAAACCTCTTTCTTTATAAATTACCCAATCCTATTCTGTAGGTTGTCTGTTTACTCTGCTGATTCTTTTGCTGTGCAGAAGCTTTTTAGTTTAATCAAGACCCGTTTATTTATCTGTATTTTTATTGCATTCTCTTTTGGGCCCTTGGTCATGAGGTCTGCCTAGGCCCATGTCTAGAAGGGTTTTTCCAATGTTATCCTTTAAAAGTTTTATGGTTTCAGATCTTAGCTGTAAGTCTTTGATTCATCTTGACCTGATATTTGTATAAATTTGGAAATGAGAATTCAGTTTCATTCTTTTACGCATGGCTTGTGAATTATCCCAGCACAATTTGTAGAACAGGGTGTGCTTTCTCCACTTTATGTTTTTGTTTGCTTTATTAAAAATCAGTCAACTACAAGTGTTTGACTTTATTTTTTGATTCTTTATTCTGTTCCATTGGTCTATATGGCTATCTTCATACCAGTACCATGCTGTTTTGGTGACTATACACTTATAATCTGAAGTCAGGTGTATTAGCCTATTTTCACGCTGCTGATAAAGACATACTCAAGACTGGGCAATTTACAAAAGAAAGAGGTTTAATTGGACTTACAGTTCCACGTGGCTGGGAAGGCCTCACAATCGTGGCAAAAGGAAAGGAGGAGCAAGTCACATCTTACATGGATGGCAGGAGGCAAAGACAGAGCTTGTGCAGAGAAACTCCCATTTGTTAAACCATCAGATCTCATGAGACCCGGTTACTACCATGAGAATAGCATAGGAATGACCACCCCCATGATTTAATCATCTCCCACGAGGTCCCTCCCATAACACATGGCAATTATGTGAGCTACAAGATGAGATTTTGGTAGGGACATAGAGCTAAACTGTTATCATCAGGTAATTTGATACCTCCAGATTTAGTCTTTTCACTTAGTATTGCTTCCCCTATGTGGGCTTTTTTTGGTTCTCTATGAATTTTAGAATTATTTTTTCTAGTTCTATGAAGAATGATGGTGGTATTTTTATGGGAATTGCATTGAATTTGTAGATTGCTTTTGGCAGTATAGCCATTTTCACAATATTGATTCTACCATCCATGAGCATGAGATGTATTTCCATTGTGTGTGTGTGTGTCATCTATGATTTCTTTCAGCAGTGGTTTGTATCTTTCCTTGTCAAAGTCTTTCACCTCCTTGGTTAGGTATATTCCTAAGTTTTGGTGGTGTTTTTTTTTTGCAGCTATTGTAAATGAGGTTGAGTTATTTATTTGTTTCTCAGCTTGCTTGCTGTTTGCATATAGCAGAGCCACTTATTTGTGTACATTAATTTTGTGTCGTGAAATCTTGCTAAATTCATTTACCAGTTCTAAGGGCTTTTGGGGTGAGTTCTTAGGGTTTTCTATGTATACAATAATGCCATCAGCAAACAACAACAGTTCGACTTCCTCTTTACCAATTTGAATGGCCTTTATCCTTTTTCATCTGATTCCTCTGGCTAGGACTTCCAGTACTATGTGGAATAGTAGTGGTGAGAGTGGGCATCCATGTCTTGTTCCAGTTCTCATGGAAAATGCTTTCAACTTTTTCCTTTTCAGTATAATGTTGGCTGTGGGCTTATCATAGAAGGCTTTTATTACATTAAGGTATGTCCCATCTATGCCAATTTTGCTGAGGTTTTAATCATAAAGGGATGCTTGTTTTTGTCAAATGCTTTTTCTGTGTCTATACAGATGATCATGTGATTTTTGTTTTTAACTCTGTTTATGTGGTGTATCACAATTATTGACTTGCATATGTTAAACTATTCCTGCATTCCTGGTAAGAAACCCACTTGATCATAGTGAATTATTCTTTTGATATGCTGTTGGATTTCGATAACTAGTATTTTGTTGAGGATTTTTGCATCTATGTTCATCAGGGATATTGGTGTGTTGTTTTCTTTTTTTGTTATGTAATTTCCTGGTTTTGGTATTCGGGTGATATGGGCTTCATAGAATGATTTAGGGAGGATTCCCTCCTTCTCTGTCTTTTGAAATAGTATCAATAGAATTGGTACAATTCTTCTTTGAAGGTCTGATAGAATTCAGGTGTGAGTTCATCTGTTCCTGGACCTTTTTGTTGTTGGTAACGTTTTAATTACCATTACAATCTTCCTGCTTATTTTTGGTCTTTTAAGAGTTTCTATTTCTTCCTGGT
Organism: Homo sapiens; assembly: GCF_000001405.40. Taxonomy (NCBI): domain Eukaryota; kingdom Metazoa; phylum Chordata; class Mammalia; order Primates; family Hominidae; genus Homo; species Homo sapiens. The sequence continues at coordinate 122,959,367 of NC_000006.12, read as the reverse complement.
TTAATCTAGAGGGTTGTATATTTCCAGGAATTTATCCATCTCCTCTAGGTTTTCTAGTTTATTTTTCCAAAGATGTTCATAGTAGCCTTCAATGATATTTTGCAATTCTGTGACATCAGTTGTAACTTCTCCTATTTCATTTCTAATTGAGCTTATTTGGATCTTCTCTCTTCTTTTCTTGGTTAATCTCACTAATGGTCTATCAATTTTATTTATATTTTCAAAAAAACAGTTTTTGTTCTATTTATCTTTTGTATTTTTTGTTTCAATTTCATTTAATTGTGCTCTGATCTTTGTTATTTGTTTTCTTCTGTTGGGCTTGGGTTTGGATTGTTCTTGCTTCTCCAGTTCTGTGAGATGTGACCTTAGATTGTCTATTTGTGCTGTTTCAGACTTTTTGATACAGATATTTAATGCTGTGAACTTTCCTCTTAGCACTGCCTTTGCTGTATCCCAGAGGTTTTGATAGTTTTTGTCACTATTATTCAGTTCAAAGACTTTTTAAATTTCCATCTTCATTTAATTATTGACCCAATGATCATTCAGGAGTAGGTTATTTAATTTCCATGTATTTGCACGGTTTTGAAGTTCCTTTTGGAGTTGATTTACACTTTTATTCCACTGTGGTCTGAGAGAGTACTTGCTACAATTTTGATTTTCTTAAATTTGTTAAGACTTGTTTTGTGGCCTATCATATGGTCTATTTTGCAGAATATTTCGTGTGCTGATAAATAGAATGTATATTCTGCAGTTGTTGGATAGAATGCTCTGTAAATATCTGTTAAGTCCATTTGTTCTAGGGTATAGTTTAAGTCTATTGTTTCTTTGTTGAGTTTCTACCTTGATGACCCGTCTAGTGCTGTCAGTGGAGTATTAAAGTCCCCCACTATTATTGTGTTGCTATCTACCTCTTTTCTTTGGTCTAATTGTAAATTTGGGAGCTCCAGTGTTAGATGAATATATATTTAGGATTATGATATTTTCCTGTTGGACTAGTCCTTTTGTCATTATATAATGTCCCTCTTTGTCTTTTTTAACTGCTGTTGCTTTAAAGGTTGTTTCATCTGATATAAGAATAGCTACTCCTGCTCACTTTTTTTGTCCAATTGCATGGAATATCTTTTTCTATCCCTTTACCTTATGTGAGTTCTTATGCTTCAGGTGAATCTCTTAAAGATAGCAGATACTTTGTTGGTAAATTCTTATCCATTCTGCCATTCTGTATCTTTTAAGTGGAGTATTTAGTCCATTTACATTCAATGTTATTATTGACATGTGAGGTACTAATCTATTCATTGTGCTTTTTGTTGTCTGAGTGCCTTGTTTGGTTTTTTTTTCATTGTGGTGTTGTTTTATAGGTCCTATGGGATTTATGCTTTAAGGGGATTCTACTTTGGTGTATTTTGAGGATTTGTTTCAAGATTCAGAGCTCCTTTTAGCAGTTCTTATTGTGCTGGCTTTGTAGCGGCAAATTCTCTGAGCATTTGTTTGTCTGAAAAAGACTCTATCTTTCCTTCATTTATGAAGTTTAGTTTCACTGGATACAAAATTATTGGCTGATAATTGTTTTGTTTAAGGAGGTTAACGATGGAACCCCAATTCCTTGTAGCTTGTAGGGTTTCTGCTGAGAAATCTGCTGTTAATCTGATAGGTTTTCCTTTAGAAGTTACCTGATGCTTTTGCCTCACATCTCTTAAGACTATTTTTGTCTTGATTTTAGATAACCCGATGACTATGTGCCTAGGTGATTATCTTTTTGTGATGAATTTTACAGGCATTCTTTGACATTCTTGTATTTGGATGTCTAGATCTCTAACAAGGCTGGGAAAGTTTCCCTCAACTATTCCCTCAAATATACTTTCCAAACTTTTAGATTTCTCTTCTTCCTTGGGAACATCAATTATTCTTAGGTTTGGTCATTTAACATAATCCCAAACTTCTTGGAGGCTTTGTTTATTTATTTTTTTATTCTTTTGTCTTTTTCTTTGTAAGACTGGGTTAATTCAAAAGCGTTGTTTTCAAGCACTGAGTTTCTTTTTTTTGTTTGTCGATTCCATTGCTGAGACTTTCCAGTGCACTTTGCATTTCTCTAAGTGTGTCTTTCATTTCCAGAAGTTGTGATTGTTTTTTGCTTATTCTATCTATTTTACTGAAGATTTTTCCATTCATATCCTGATCTTTTTTTTTTTTTCCTTTAAGTTGGACTTCACCTTTCTCTGGTGCCTCCTTGTTTGGCTTAATAATCAACCTTCTCAATTCTTTTTCTGACAATTCAGAGATTTTGTCTTGGTTTGGATCCATTGTTGTCGAGCTAGAGTGATTTTGGGGGGGAGGTTAAAAAAACTTTGTTTTGTCATATTACCAGAATTGTTTTCCTGGTTCCTTCTCATTTGGATAGACCATGTCAGAGCGAAGATCTGGGACTCAAGGCCTGCTATTCAGATTCATTTCTCCCACGGGGTGTTCCCTTAATATGGTGCTCTCCTTTTTCCCCTAGGAATGAGGCTTCCTGAGAGCTGAAATGCACTAATTTTTATTTCTCTTCTGGATCTAGCCACCAAGCAGTGCTACCAGGCTCTGGGCTGGTAGAGAGGGTTGTCTGCAAAGAGTCCTACAATGTGTAATGTGATCCATCTTCAGGTCTCTCAGCTGTGGATACCAACCCCTGATTTGGTGGAGGTAGCAGGGGAGTGAAGTGGATTCTGTGAGGGTCCTTTGCTGTATTTTTGTTAAGTACACTGGTTTTGTGTTGGCTGGACTCCATCCAGGAGGTGGCGCTTCCAAGTGTGCATCAGCTGTGGTAGTGTAGAGAGGGTCAGGTGGTGAGTGGCGCCATAGAGCTCCAAAGAAATTATGTCCATTGTCTTTGGCCACCAGTGTGGGTAGAGAAAGACCATCAGGCAGGGGCAAGGTAGGTGTGTCTAAGCTCAGATTTTTCTTGGGCAGGGCTTGATGCAGCTGCTGTGGGGGATGGGCAGGTGGTTCCCAGGTCAAAGGAGTTATGTTCCCAGTGAAATTCTGGCTGCCTCTGCTCTGTCACACAGATCACCAGTGAAGTGGGGGAAAGCTGGCAGCCACCGGCCTCACCCATGTCCCAGGCAGCCCACAGCCCAAAAGACCAGTCTCACTCCCATTGTACACCCCCAACAACACTGAGTTTATTTCCAGGCAGTCAGTGAGCAGAGGTGAGGAACGTGCCCCAGGTTACAGCCTCCCAGCTGAGAAAGCAAGCCAATTCACAGTTCTTTGACTATCCTATGGTGCCTGCAGCAGCATTTCACCTCCTTCGAAGGGTCTGTGGATTCCCTCTGCTTTCCTGGTATATTCCTGCAGTAATTGCAGGAGCAAAAGTTCATGATGTGAGCCTCCACACACTACTCTGTCCTTCCAAAAGGGAGTTGCAAGTTAGTCCTTCCTCTTAGCCACCACTTTTTTTTTCCTCTCTTAGCAATTTTCTTAGCATTAATTTTTATTTTTACTATATTGTGGCCTGAAATCGTGTCTGGTATCTTTTCTTTCTTTTTTTTATTTGCTGATGTTTCTTTTATGACCAATTTTGTGGTTGATTTTAGAGTATGTTCCAGGTGCAAATGAGAAGAATATAGGATTTTGTTGTTCTTTGGTGGAGAGTTCTGTAGATATATGTTAGGCCCATCTAGTCAAGTGTTCAGTTCAGGTCCTAAATATCTTTGTTAATTTTCTGCATCGATGATGTTTCTAATACTGTCAGTAGGGTATTGAGGTCTCTTACTATTATTGTGTAGTTATCTAAGTCTCTCCATAGGTCTCTAAGAACTTGCTTCATGAATTTGGATGCCTCTGTGTTGGGTGCATAAATATTAAGGATGGTCAAGTCTTTGTGCTGAATTTAACCCTTTACCATCATGTAATGCCCTTCCTTGTCTTTTTTGATGGTTGTTGATTTAAAGTCTGTTTTGTCTGGAAATAGAATAGCAACCTCTCCTTTTTTCTCTTTTCCATTTGCTTGGTATATTTTTCTTCATCCCTTTACTTTGAATCTATGGGTGTCATCGCATGTGAGATGGGTCTCTAGAAGACAGCATACAGTTGGGTCTTTCTTCTTTGTCTAACTTGCCATTCTATGCCTTTTATTTGAGGGCATTTAGCCCATTTATATTTAAGGTTAATATTGATATATGCAAATTTGATCGTGTCATCATGTTGTTAGCTTATTATGTGGATTTGATAGTGTGGTTGCTTTATAGTGTCAATGGACTATATACTTAAATATGTTTTTGTGGTAGCTGGTAATGGTCTTTCATTTCCATATTTAGCACCTCCTTAAGTACTTCTTGTAAGGCAGGTCTGATGGTAACAAATTTCCTTAGCATCTGCTTGTCTGAAAAGGATCTTATTTCTCCTTTACTTATGAAGCTAGTTTGGCTGGATATGAAATCCTTGGTTGGAATTTCTTTTCTTTAAAAATGCCTAATATAGAACCCCACTCTCTTCCAGCATTTTAGATTTCTGCTGAAAGTTCTGCTATTAGCTTGATGGATTTCCCTCTGTAGGTGACCTGCCCCTTTTCTCTAGCTGCCTTTAATATTTTTCTTTCATATTGACCTTGGAGAATCTAATGATTGTGTCTTGGGGATAGTTATCTTACATAGTATTTCACAGGGGTTCTCTGCATTTTCTGAATTTGAATGTTGGCCTCTCCAGTGAGGCTAGAGAAATTTTCATGGACCATAACCTCAAATATGTTTTCTAAGATGCTTGTTTACTCTCCCTCTTTTTTGGGGATGTCAATGAATCATATATTTGGTCTTTTTACATAATTCCATATTTCTTGGAATTTTTTTATTCTTTTTAAATTTTTTCTTTATTTTTGTCTGACTGAGTTAGTTCAAAGAACCAATCTTCAGAATCTGAGATTTTCCTCAGCTTAGTCTATTCTGCTGTTAAAACTTGTGACTGTATTATGAAATCCTTGTTGTGTGTTTTTCAGCTCTATCAGATCAGTTTGGTTATTTTTTATAATGGCCATTTTGTCTTTCAGCTCTTGTATTATTTTATTGTAATCCTTAGTTTCTTTGTATTGGATTTCTACTTTCTTCCAAAAGTCGATGATCTTCCTATACATATTCTGAATTTTGTATCTATCATTTCAGCCATTTCATCCTGGTTAAGAGCCCTTGTTATGGAAATGGTATGGTCATTTGGAGGAAAGAAAACACTCTGGCTTACTGAACTGCCAATGTTCTTGTGCTGGTTCTTTCTGATCTGTGTGGGCTGATGTTTCTTTAACAGTGGTGTAATTTGATTACAGTCAATTGACTTCTTTTCTGGATGAGCTGAGGCCCTAGTGGAGGTAGGGTGACTCATGGGGGATCTCCTGAGCCTAGATTGCAAAGATCCATGGAAGAAGTGTGAATCCCCAGGGACTCTCACTCATTGTTTCCTCACAGTCGGAGGCCTCCCCTAGCTCCACACCACTCCTGGTTGGTTAGTTGTCCAGTCTTGTTCTTCTCCCATTCTCTGTGGGTTGCTTTGCTTCCTTGATGAATCCCAATGTGTTCCTCTGGATGTTCCAGTTGAAGAGCAAGTGTTTACTCACCACTCTCTTCTCTCTATGAGAGCAGCACACGCTAGCTACTTCTAGTTGCCTGTCTTGGCCAGAATCTCTACTCTCTGTTTCTATGAGTTAAACTTTTTAGATTCTGCATATTAGATCATGCAGTATTTATCTTTCTGTGTCTGACTTATTTCACTTAGTGTAATGTCTTCTGTGTTCATCCATGTTGTCACAAGTGACAGGAAATCCTTCTTTTTTAAGGCTGAATATTCCATTGTATATACATACCACAATTTCTTCATTCAGTCATCCATCAATGGACACTTAGGTTGTTTCCATATTTTGGCTATTGTGAATAATGCTGCATTGAACATGAGAGGCAGATATCTTTTTAAGATACTAACTCACTACTCTACTTTCTGCTTCTATGAGTGTGATGATTTTAGATACTTCATATAAGTGGAAACATAGTGTTTGTACTTTTATGACTTTCTCATTTCTCTTATCATAATGTCTTCAAGGTTCATTTATGTTGTAGCATATGATAGAACATTTCTTTTTCAAGGCTGAATAATATTCTCTTATATGTATATACCACATTGTCTTTAACTATTCATCCATTGACACTTAGGTTGTTTTTACCATTTTGCCTTTGCGAATAATGCAGAATAAACATAGGAGGACAAATGCCCCTTTGAGATCCTGTTTTCAACTTTTTGTACAAGTATCCAGAAGTAGGGTTGCTGGATCATGTGGTAGTTTTATTTTTAACTTTTTGAGGAACTTTTGTACTGTTTTCCATAGAAGCGGCCCCATTTTGTATTCCCACCAACAGTGCACAAGTATTCCAATTTCTCCACATCCTTACCAACACTTGCTATTTTCTGGTTGTTGTTTCTGTTCTTCTTGTTTTTGAATAATTGCTATCCTAACAGGTGTAAAGCCATATCCCACTGTGGTTTTGATTCGCATTTCACCTATGATGAGTGCTGAGCATCTTTTTATATACCTGTTGACCACTTGTAAGTCTATTTTGAAAAAAAAAGTCCTTTAAACATTTAAAGGCTTTTTTATATTGAGTTGTGGAAGTTTCTCATATATTTTGGATATTAACCCATCTTTCCTTTGCTGTGCAGAAGCTTTTAGTTTAAAGTAGTCTCACGTGTCTATTTTTGCTTTTGTTGCCTGTGCTTTTGCTGCCTGTGCCTTTGCTGTCATAATCAAGAAAGCATTCCCAACACCGGTGTAATGAAGCTTAAGTTTTTAATCCAATTCGAGTTGATTTTGTGTATGGTGTAAGATAAGGGTTCAATTTTGTTCTGTTTCATGTGGATATCCAATTTTCCCAGAACCATTTATTGAAGTATTGGGTGCTACATATTTTTTTCATTGTGTAGTTTTGGCATGCTTCTCAAAGGTCATTTGACTATATATATGTGGGTTTCTTTCTGATCCCTCTATTTTGTTTCATTTGCCTAAATATCTGTATTTATGCTAGGGTCATACTGTTTATAATACTATGGATTTATAATGTGTTTTGAAGCCAGAAGTGGTGAGGTCTCCAGTTTTGTTCTTTCTCAAGATTGGTTTGGCTATTCAATATCCTTTGTTGTTTCATATGAATATGATAATTTTTTCTCTTTTGGAAAAAAATTTCATTGGGATTTTGACAGAGATTGCATTGAATAGATTTATAATATGTTTTAAAGTCAGGAAGTTTGAGGCCTCCAGTTTTGTTTTTCTTTCTCAAGATTGTTTTAATTATTTGATTGTTTGTGGTTTCATATGAATATGAGATAGAGATTGCATTAAATCTGTAGATCACTTTGCATAGTGTGGACATTCTAACAATATTAATTCCTTCAACCCATCAATATGAGATGTATTTCCATTTACTTGAGACTTCTTTAGTTTTTTTCAGCAATGTTTTATAGTTCAGTGTATATATCTTTTGCCTACTGGTTAACTTTATTCGTAAGTATAAGTTGAAATATTCCTTCTGATGCTATTGTAAATGGGAATATTTCTTAATTTCCTTTTTGGCTTGTTTTTAGTGTATAGAAACACAACAGATTTTTGTGTGTTGATTTTGTATCCTGAAAATTTGCTGAATGTATTTATTAGTTTTAAAAATTTTTGGAGGATCTTTGAGTTTTCTACACATATCATCATGCCTTTTGAGAACAGACATAATTGTAAGTCTTTCTTTCTAATTTAGATGCCATTTATTTCTTTTTCTGGCCTAATTGTCCTGAGTAGGACTTCCAGTACTATGTTGAATAGAAGTGATGAGAGTGGGTATCCTTGTCTTGTTCCAGATCTTAGAGAAAAAGCTTTCAGTTTTTCTCCATTTAGTGTAATGTTAGCTGTGGGCTTTTCATATAAAGTCTTTATTATGCTGATCTGATTTTCTTCTATTCCTTATTTGTTAAGTGTTTTTTTATCATGAAAGAATATTGAATTTTGTCAGATGCTTTATCTGCATCTATTGAGATGATCAAATAATTTTTCTCCTTCTTTCTGTTAATGTGGTATATAACACTGATTGATTTTCATATGGTGAATTATCCTTGCATCCCAGGGATAAATCTCACAAGGTCATGGTGCATAATCCTTCTGATGTACTGTTGAATTCAACTTGCTATTATTTTATTGAGAATTTCTGCATCTACATTCATCAGGAATGAATAGTTTGATTGATTAATTGATTGATTGATTGACTGAATTATTGATTTCCTATAGTTTTCTTTTCTTGCAGTGTCTTTGTCTAGCTTTGGTATCTGGCTAATGCCAGCCACATAAAAGAAATTATGAAGGTTTCCCTCTTCTTAAACTTTTTTTAATAGTGTGAGGATTGGCAATAGTTATTTTTTAAATGTTTAGTAGAATTTGTCTGTAAATACATCTGGCCCTGGGCTTTTCTTTGTTGTGATATTTTTGATTCCTGATCAATCCCCTTACTAGTTATAGGTCTGTTAAGATCTTCTATTTTTTCAGTGTTCAGTTCTGGTAAGCTGTATGAGGAATTTATTCACTTCTAGATTACCTAATTCAATCACAAATAATTGTTCATCATAATTTATTGTAGTCCTTTTTATTTCTGTTGTATTGTCTCCTCTTTCGTTTCTTTTTTTAAATTTTCTTCCTACTTTCAAGCTAACAAGTTACCCTGTTTCATTTCTTATTTCATTTGTGTTTTCTTTTTCTCTTAATCAAACTAAAGCTTTTTCAATTCGTTGATATTTTCAAAAAACCAACTTTTAGTTTTGCTGATGTTTTGTTGTTTTTCTTTTTTTAATTTATACTGATCTAATCTTTATTATTTATTTCTTTGCTTTTGTTAACTTTGGGCTTAGTTTGTTTTTCTTGTTCCTCAAAATGTAAAGTTAGGTTGTTTATTCAAGATCTTTAAACTTTGTAAATGTAGGCACTTACTAGTATAAGCTCTCCTTTTAGAAATGCTTTTGCTGAATCCCACAATATTTTATATGTTTTGTTTTGGTTTTTTGTCTCAAGATATTTTCTACTTTGCCTTTTGATTTTGTGTTTGACTTATTGATTGTTCAAGAGTGTGTTGTTCAATTTTCATGTAATTATAAATTTTCTAGTTTTTCTTCTGTTACTGATTTCCAGTTTTATTTCACTGTGGTCAGAAAAGATACTTGATATGATGTCAATGTTCTTAATTTAAAACATGTTTTATAACCTAATGTGAGCTATATGGAAGAATGTTTCATGTGTGCTTGAGAATAATGTGTATTCTACTACCTTTGGGTGAAACATTCTGTATATGACCTGTAACATTGTTAAATGTTACATGTTAAATGTCCATTTGGCCTGTAACATTGTTAAAGTTCTATTTATTTTTTATTGATCTTCTGTATAGATGTTCTACCCACTATTGAAACTGAAGTATTGAAATCTTTTACTACTATTATTTTTCCCTACAATTCTGTCAATGTTTACTTCATATATTTGGGGACTCTGATGTTGGATGGATACATAATCATAACAGTTATACATTCCTGGTGAATTAACCCTTTAATTACTATATACAGTCCTTCTTTGTCTCTTGTGACAGTTTTCGATTTAAAGTCTATTTTGTTGGATATCAGTATGGCCACTACTGCCCTCAGTTGGTTGCCATTTGAATTAAATACCTTTTTCCATTGTTTAACTTTCGGCCTATACCTGCCTTAAATCTAAAGTGAGTTTCTTATAGACAGCATATGTTTGGATCTTGTTGTTTTAATC